>NC_000010.11:2131212-2282727 GCF_000001405.40 Homo sapiens
TTTGTCTAGTCGGCGCTCAATGGATATTTGCTTTTCTAATTGAAATATATTTATGTAAATATGTATATTATATATTAATAATTGCTTCACCATGTGAAAACATATATCTCAACCCAACATTTATCTTTATTCTTAAAGAGTAATCTCACCCATACTCATTACAATAAGAATACAATATTGCTTACTAAGACCTATATTATTTTGAAAATTCTAAGCAACACATTATGAAAAGAGAAAAAAACAAGAAATATCAGAAAGGAAAACACAAATTACAATTATTCAATTATTTTAACACAAACAAGTTCTAGATGTAATGTCCAGCGTAAATGCCTGGAAAACCTTTTAAAACGATGCAAGACATAAGGTAAACAGACCACACACTCAAGTATTCTTGTAATCTCCATATCTAATTTAAAAGTGTAACAAAGTAAGTGTTTCCTTTCATAATAGCAATTAAGAAAACTAAAATTCTTATCACCAAAGCTTTCTTTTAATGGTGTTTCTGTACACATGTTGAGTATTTCTTATCTAAAGTCCATGGGACCAGATGTGATTTGGATTTTTTAAAATGTTAGAATATTTGCATTATATTGATTGTCCCAAATGTGAAAAGCTGAAATGTAACAATGAGCATTATGTTTTCACTCAAAAAAGATTTGGAAGCATTTTGGATTTCAGATTTTTACAACTGAGATGCTTCACCTAAAAATACAAATGTAAAAATTGACATGGAAGATAGAAATGTAAAGAAAAAAGCAGAAACAATATGTCCCTGTATAGAAAACTAAAATATTGCAGGTATACCAAATCACTCCAAATTAACTACATTTATTTAGTGTTATTAGAATTATTTGGAAATTAAAATATATTCTGATGATTTTTCAAGGCATGTAGAAATAGCCCGGGTCATTCTGAAAAGTAAAGAGTCATAAAGTGTGATGTCCCAATCAGGTGTGAAAGTGCGTGGCCCTGGTCAGACAGCAAACATGTGGAGAGCCTGGAAGGAAATAGAGGAGTTGATCATAAGCACTGTAACATGGGATGTGTGAAATGATAAATATTTTAGTTCAAATAAGTGCCAGAAGGTTGAGTTTTTGAATAAATGTGGTTGCAACAACTGACTAGCAGTTTGGGAAAAATATATAAATGGTTTCTTTTTTATTATCCACAAGAATACAGAAATGTGCTGGACGTGGTGGTGCGTGTTTGTAGTCCCAGCTACTTGGTCCGGGGTGGGGGGGGGGGGCGGCAAAGTGAGAGCATCACTTGAGCTGGGGAGGTTAAGGCTGCAGTGAGCCATAATCACACCACTGCTCACCAGCCTGGGCGACAGAGCAAGACCCTGTCAAAAAAAAAAAAAAAAAAAGACAAACTACAGACTGGGAGTATTTACAAAAAATACACGTAATAAAAGAATGTTATCCAAATGTGTAAAGAACTCCTAAAACTCAACAATAAGAAAAGAAACAATCAGATTTTTAGAAATGGGCCAAGGACCAAAAAAAAGGTGCTTCAACACAGAAGTTTTACAGACAGCACTAGCACATGAAAAGAAGCTTCACGTTTTATGTCATCAGGAAAATGGAAATCAAGACAATAATGAGATGCCAGTACACACCTATCAGAATGGCCAAAACCAGAACACTGACAACACCAAATGCTGGTGAGGATGTGGAGCAACAGGAACGCTCATTCACTGCTGATGAGAAGGAAAAATGGTACAGCCACTGTGGAAGAGAGTGTGCAGCTTTTTCAAAATCTTAACATATGTTTACCATAGGCTACGGTTTGAATGTGTCCCTTACAATTCATGTCTTGGAAACTGAATCCCCAGTGCAACACTGTTGAGAGGTGGGGCTTAATGAGGGTCTTTAACTCATGAGGGTTCTGCTCTCATATACGGATTGACCTCATGATTGTGGGAGCCGGTTTGTTATCAGGAGAGTAGGTTCATTTATCAAAATGAGTTTGGTGCCATCTTGCTCCATTGCTCTCCCAGCTCTTGTTGTTTTGCCCTCCACCATGTGATGAGGCAGCATGAAGCCCTTTTCAGATATTGGAGCCATGCTCATGGACTTCCCAGCCTCCAAACTGAGCAAATAAATTTGTGTTCATTATAAATTACCTAGTCTATGGTATTCTGTTATAGCAATATGAAAAAGACTAAGATACCACATATTGAGTGAATCCTCCCATTGGTATTTACCGAAAGGACTTCAAAACTTACATTCACACAAAAACAGCACATGGATGTTTATAACATCTTTAATCATGATGACCCAAACTTGGAAGCAATCAAGATGTCTTTCAGTCGGAGAGTGGATAAATAAAGTGTGGAACATCCAGACAGTGGAATATCACTCAGCACTGAAGAGAAATGTGCTGCTAAGTCATGAAAAGACATCGAGGAGCCCTTAAATGTATGTTACTAAGTGAAAGAAGTCAATCTGAAAAGGTTGCATGCTATATGATTCCAAATATATGACATTCTGGAAAAGGCAAAATCATGAAGATGGTGAAAAGATCAGTGGCTGCCAGGGGTTGGTGGAGAGAGTGATGAATAACTGAAGCACAGGTGCTTTTTAGCATAGTGAACCTACTCTCCATGAGGCTACAATAGTGGATCCATGTCATTACAAAAGTGTTCAAACCCACATAATGCACAACACCAGGAGTGAGCCCTCATGTACATGATGGTCTAAGTAATGATGACCTGTCTAGGTGGGTTCATCAATTGTAACAAACGCACCCTCTGGTGGGGATAACGACTGGGGAGGCTGTGCGTGTGGGGGGATGGAGGCCATACAGGAACTCTCTGTACCTGCTTCTTGATTTTACTGTGAACCTAAAGCACTTAAACAACGTCTTTTTTTATGAAGTTAAAGGTAGAATAAAGACTTTAATTTTGATGAGTAATGATTAAAATTACTAAAATAAGACATGGACGATGCATTTTATGATTTTTGCAAAAGGTTGGGCTTTCTAAATATTTTGTACAATATGATATACAGAAGAAAATAGTTACATCTGTCTACAAAAATTAAAGAAGAAAAAAAGTAGGAACAACTACATTTAGCAAACAAAAAACCTAGCAACTACAATCAGAAAAATGTCAATTGGAAGATGGTCTAAAACATATCAATGAACGAATAATGAGGCTGCAGAAAACATCCTAAGCCTTAGTTTACCCACACAAGAGTCTGTATATTTAGGCATTAATGTGAGAATATGAAGGGTGGCAGAGGAGCAGAAAACATTGTCTTTACTGACGGAGTGTTCGACAATACTGAGAACATTGTCCGGTTGTCACCACTTATCCATGGGAGGTAAGTTCCAAGATCCCCAGTGGATGCCTGAAACCATGCCTCATAGGAAACCCCACATATACTATGTTCTCCCCTCTATGTAAATGTCTAAGATAAAGTTTAATTTATGCATTAGGCATAGTAAGAGTATAACAACTAATAAAGTGAAGGGTATCATCAGGTATCAACAGCGCAGCTGGAGCAAGGCAGGTAGAGGGAGGAGATAAGTTTGTTTGCTGGGTCTTCTGGCTGAACTTCCGGTGCCTGACCCTTGCTTCCACTCCTCCTGCCCGTGGACATCACACTCCAGATTCTTCCACCTTTGGACTCTGGGACTTACACCAGTGGGTTCCTGGGGGCTCTTGGGCCATCAGTCTCACTGAGGGCTGCACTGTCAGCTTCCCTGGTTTTGAGGCTTTCAGATTTGGACTGCGCCACTGCTGGCTTCTCTCTTTCCCTAGCTTGCAGACAGCCTAGGGTAGGACTTTGCCTTGTAATCACCTGAATCAATTCTCCCTATTAAGCTGCCTTTTATATATGCATAGCTTCTACTGGGCCTATCCCTCTGGAGAGACCTGACCAATACAACTAATAACAAAATAGAACAACTATAACAATATGTCAACATCACTTCTCTTGTGCTTTGGGGCCATTATTAAGTAAAATAAGGGTTGTCTGTACAAAAGCACTACAGTATTTCAATGTTCTATCTGATAACTGAGACAACTCCTAGGTGATTAACAGGCATGAGGTGTAGACAGGGTGGAGGCACTGGACGGAGGGCTGATTCCCATCCTGAGTAAGATGGAGTGGGACGCTGTGAGATTTCATCACACGGTGTGGAACTGAACACAATTTAAAACGTATGCATTGTTTATATCTGGAATTTTGCATTTAATATTTTTGGACCATGGCTGGCCACAGGTAACTGAAACTGTGGAAGGTGAAATGGAGAATAAGGGGGTTGCTATATTACTTTCTTCAGGCCTAGAAAAGCCTTGTGATGAATAAATTGTTGTTATCTTTAGACATGCCTATGTGTGGGTAAGATGACAGAGGATTGAAGATTTGCTTTACACTGCTTTAAAAATTATAAAAACAAGATAAGTGAAGCAAGTATGGCAAAATTATGATAATTATTGAATTTATACGATGGGTGCATGACAGTTTTAAGTACTTTTTTCTCTACTTCATAATAAATAAATCCTAAAACATCTTCACTCCAGTACATTTTCTGGCCACAATCTCTTTTCTCTCTTTCAGGCCCAGGACTTGACTGTGCACATCGGCTTTCGTCCGTCTTCTTCTGCTCTTTTTGAAGCCTCCTTTAAACATGTCTCCTCAATGATCTACCGAAACTCCTCTTAAAATCGTCACGAGGGATTTCCACACTGTTAAATTCAAGGGTTAATTCTCAATGCTTTCTTCATTTAAACGAAAGCAGCATTGAACACTCGCTCATTCTTGGGACATAATGTTTGTGAAGACATCTTCCTTCCCCCTGTCTGGACCTCATCTGTTGGTGCTCATGGACCCTGGGATGCTGGAGATCTCAGGACTTGGTTGTCAGATGACTTTTTTTTTTTTTCTGATGATATTCACTTTCTAATTCAGCCCCTTATTCTAGATCATCTACATATCCATGGCTTCCCCACTGGTGTCAATGACCTGGGCCTCTGCCGTTCATTACAGATCTATACATCCAACTACCTACTTCCCATCTCCACCTGGATATCAAATAATTATCAGAGCATAGGTATGCTAAGCACTGAATTCCCCATGTTCCTCAACTCCCTCCACCTGGAATCTCCATCTACACTCTTGGAAGATTGACCCTATCAGGCCCTCGGATCTTTGAATTTCTCCTTTGCTCATGCGTGACCTCCAAACTCTCATAAGAGTCTCAAAGCAGTTTTTCAAACCATGTGCAGATTTTTTGAAAATGCAGAATAATTTCCACTGTTACCCAAGCCCAAACAGTCACAGTCTCTCATGTTGCTGTTGGAATAGCCTTTGCCTGGCCTTCCCGTTTGTGCCTTGTTTCCTTCATTCTGGTCCTGGGCTGATGGATGCCAGCCTCTGAGCCAGGCCCAGCCTCCCCTATGTGTGTTTAGCTGTTGAGCTAGTAATGTTTTCTATATTTTTAGAGAAGAATATTTTATGACCCATGTATTTTATATTAAATTTAAATTGTAGGGTCCCAAAATACAGTTTTCCTGGGACACAGCCACACCCAATTGTTGACGTATGACCTATAGCTGCTTTTCCTGCTACAAAAGAGAGTTGAGTTGCTGTGACAGAGATGGTACAGCCTGCTGAGTTTATTTGCATATTTATTTGTATTTTATTTATTTATTTATCTTGAGGTGGAGTCTTGCTCTTTCGCCCAGGCTGGAGTGCAGTGACACTATCTCGACTCACTGCAACCTAGGTTCAAGCAATTCTCGTGCCTCAGCCTCCTGAGTAGCTGGGATTACAGGCATGTGCCGCCACACCCACCTAATTTTTGTATTTTTTGGTAGAGATGGGATTTCACCATTTTGGCCAGGCTGATCTCGAACTCCTGACTTCAACTGATCTGCCCACCTCGGCCTCCCAAAGTGCTGGGATTAGAGGAGTGAACCTCCCCACCCAGCCAGCCCCCTGAGTTTAAAATGATTATTACTCAGCTGTGGTACAGAGCACAAAGAGTCAAAGTTTGCCAACCCCTGTTCTAGTTTTAACACATCACCTGGAATGATCCTGCTCAAACAAAGTAAAAAATTATGACACTTCTGACACCCACTCATCACCCACCTCAAGAAAGAGACTGTTCTTACAGTGGCCTAGAAGTGAGATGACAGCATGCTTTTCTGTTCACCTTGGTTCATTTCTGAGGGCAAAAATGCAGATTTATCCATAGTTACTATTGAATAAGGCCATTATTCCCAGGCATGAACTGGGAATATGATCACCTTAACTCTACACTCCACATAATCTGGCACCACTAACTCTCAGATCTAGAATTAGCCTGCCTGGGCTGGTGTGACAACATACCACAGACTGGGTGGCTCAAGCAACAGGCATTAAGGCTCTCATGCTTCTAGAGTCTGGAAGTCCAAGATCAAGGTTCCTGCCTTTTCCTCTCCCTGGTGAGGGCTACATTCTTGACTTGCAAAAGGCCACCTGCTGGCTGTCAACTCACAGATGGCAGACAGAGGGAGCTCTCTGCTGACTCCTCTAATAAGGTACTCATGCATTCATGGTGCACAGCCTCATAACCTTATCAAAACCTAATCACCTCCCAAGGTCTCACCTCCTGATACATTCCCATGGTGGTTGGTTAGGGCTTCCACAAAGGAATCTGAGGACTCACTTTGTCCATGGCAGGTCTCATCTCTGACCACTCTCCTCATTCACCACCTCAGTCTCACAGCCGTTTGTCTTCCCAAAACACCCTTGACATGCACCCTGCCAGAGCCAGCCGCTCCAAGTGCCTGCCCCATCCTGCGCCATGTGAGCCTCACTCCCTGGGGGCCTTCTCAAGTGCCAGCCTTCCTGGCCTTTTCTGTTCACCTCTACTCCACGGTGTGGACTCAGCTACACATTTCTAATAGTCCTTAGTCTTTTTCTTTTTTCCTGTAGCAATTATCACCCCTAACATACAATTTCCAGGCTGTCATAGCTGATTTTTCGCATATTTTCCTGAATGCTGTACACCCAGTCTTTAGAATAGCATCTAGAGCTATGTGGCTGCTCAAAATATATTTACCAAAGAAGAAAATTAACAGATGAATGAATGGGCCATGTTCAGGTCATTTTGGCAGAAGGAAAATAGCTGTTTATTAACTGCTCCTGTAGGATAGCTTACAAAGAAGCTATACCAGGAACATAATTGACTTTTCAATATTTATGTGTGTGGGTGGGGGAATAGCAGTGAGAAATGGGGAAAGAAAAAGGTGTTAGAAACAAAAAGAATTGATAGTTTACATCTTCTAACATTTCAATAAATGTTGAGTTTAATTGTTAGCTGGACAGCTTTAAATAAAATTAGATCATTTTAGATATGCATGCTGTATTGTGATCATCTTTTTCATTCTTTTCATTATATTCAAAAAATATTTCCATGTAAACCATCAACCCTAAAGCAACACTTTAAAAGGAGAGTGACCGCACCTTAATTCATTTATATCCTCTTCCAACATGCATGCTTATTATAAATAGTCCCAAATATATATACACAAAAATAAAATTAAAATGTGTCTGGGATAACAACAAATACATTCAGCCTTTCTCTTTATGTCGTCTTTAATTCAGAATCTCAGTTCTCTCCCTCTATAATTTCATGAGCATTTTGTTTATTTGGAAAAAATTATCAGTACATTTTATTTAGGAATGTAGATGAGAAATAATATGTCTTATCTACATAGGGCTTATTCCAAGAACTTAAGCATGTTTTAACATAAAAAGTATAGCAAACATAGTTATTATGTTAAAAGATTAATGGAAAATAGAGCTAGATTTTTCTTCATTTAATTTTTCCATGAATATATATGACATTTGTTTTACAAACATTGTATTGACTGAAAACTGATAATATCACATTAGCAAAATAACTTGCAATGTTCTGGATCCATTTCCCTTAAATCAGTTGCAGAATTAAGCAAAATTCTTCAGTGAAATGATGAATTCTTAATACAACTGAGTGTTGGCGGTTACAACTCTCAATGGAGCCCTAACTCTATGGTTGAAAAATTCAGTGAACTTTCGATTTCAGGTGGGTAGGGTCACAAAAGGCTCTTTATGCTTGATATTGAGGCTGGAAAATCATTCCTGCTTTTAGGGAAAATCTGATTATTTGTCTTATAATGTAGAGTTCTGTAACAAAATATAAATTTTAGGGTCAGGTCCTCATCAACATGCAGGCAAGGAATCTAAACTTCTCCATGTAGACAAGGGATGTGTCTGTTCATCATGGTGTTCCTGCCAATTGGAATAGTGCCTGGGACACGGAATCGTGTTATCATACGTGTTGAATGCATAGATAACCATACATGTTGAATGCACTGTTGGACATCCATGAAATTCATGTTCTAGCATAATTTTCTATTGCTATGGTCTCAGGAGCATTACGTGGGGCTCATACTGAAGGGTCTCAGAGATTTTGAGCAGATTTCAGAGTAAGAGGGTGAAGGCCGGGTTTTTTAGAGAAGCAAAACAGTCTTCTGCAAATTGGGAGGAGATTCCTCACCAGATGCTGGGTCTGCTGGCACCTTGACCTTGGGCTTCCCACCTCCAGAATTGTGAAAAGTAAGTGTTTGTTGTTTTAAGCCACTCAGTTCATGGTAATGTTTTTACAGCAGCCTGAACTGACTTCTCTCCTTAACTGAACTATGAACATCTTGAGGGAAGGCATTGCTTGTCATAACATTCAACGCCAAGCAAATGCCTGCTTTGCAAGTTTGTAAATAGCTTTGTTGATGACTACAAATGATATCAGAAGAATTTTGGAAGGGGAGAAGCTAATGAACAATAAATCATGGGACTATCACCTTTAACCTTTTAAATGAGCCAGTAGGTAGGGTTGGTAACATTGTAATGCACAAAACAAATGCATTTCAATATGTCATGATGAAGAAAAGATTACTTAGATAATTGAAAAGAAAAATAAAGCAAGATAATCAAGGCTACATTAGGTACCATGATTATGTGCAAACAACACATAGAGAAGTTGGCAGTATCTGTTAAATATAAATTTAATTAATCCAGATGGCTAATTTCATAGACTGAAAGATCTAAGTATTTTTCTTTTCTTCTTGACCAAAATTATCTGATAGCTTGTGCTCTGAAAGCTCAATAAAATAACACATTAATATTAAATTCGCTGAGTGCAGTGGCTCATGCTTGTAATTCCAGAATTTTGGGAGGTCAATGTGGGATGATAACTTGAGCCCAGGAGTTTGCGACCAGCCTTGGCAACAGAGTGAAACCCCGTCTCTACAAAACGCAAAAATAACACAGTGAGACCCCATTTCTACAAAAAGCAAAAATAAAAAAGTAGCCAGGACTGTGTTTCCAGTTACTTGGGAGGCTGAGCTGGAAGGTTTGCTTAAGCCCAGGAGGTCCAGGCTGCAGTAAGCCCTGATTGTACCACTGCAACAGAGCAATACCCTTTCTCAAAAAATATACTAGGTTCTAGTTTATATTAACATGCTGTGAAAAACAAACACATGCAATACTATAAGTAGACTTTAAAACAATTCATCCCTCGGATACATTTATTTTGATAGAAATGAGTTATTGACAGAAAACAGCTAGAGTAGAAAATGTCATTCTAGACTTCGTAGGTGACTGGTTTGATAGTAGCCAGATTTGGAGAGGTAAGAAAATTGATGAAAATCCATGAACAGATATGATTAAATTGTTCAAAACATTAAAAAAATTTGAGTTATTTCCATGGGGCTTTTTGGGTAGACAAGCATAAAAGGGGTAGAGTAGAAATTCTTCTCTCCCCATGACTACATGGATTTGTGCTTTTTGCTTCCTCTCTGTCTCAGCAGCACTTTGAAGACACATGACCTGCTTTCCGAGATTAGAGACATGTGATGATAATATGTGTGATTACTCTTTTACGACAGAGCTTCAAAGTCATAGGAAGGCTTAGAAATAAGAGTAAAACAGCCGTGCTAATTTTACTTGGCAGAATTATTTAACCACTTATGGAGTAATCTGATGTCCAATAAGTATGAGAAAGTGAATGGAAAGGCCGGGCTCACACCTGTAATCTCCCAGCAGTTTGGGAGGCCAAGGCAGGTGGATCACTTGAGGTCAGGAGTTCGTGACCAGCCTGGCCAAAACAGTGAAACCCCATTTCTACCAAAAATACGAAAATTAGCTGGGCACAGTGGTGTATGCCTGTAATCCCAGCTACTTGGGTGGCTGAGGCAGGAGAATTGCTTGAACCTGGGAGGTGGAGGTTGCAGTGAGCTGAGATTGTGCCACTGCACTCCAGCCTGGGTGATAGAGGAAACTCTGTCTAAAAAAAAAAAAAAAAGAAAGAAAGAAAAGAAAGTGAACCGAAGGAGGGTTTAACCCCACTGTGAGGCACTAGCTGTGCCCTCTGAGGTCACGGGTGGTGGCCACCATCACAAGCACCCAGAACCACTGAGCCCTATGACTGTAGCACCAGGGAGTCTCACCTGTGCCTCCTTCCATTTCCACAGCGCTTCTTGTCATTCTGTGTCTGTTCCTCATTCTTTTCTTAATACAAACACCTACAGACTATTGTAATGCACGTTGCTATTTTCTTTCTCTGACATCTTTCATACTGTTATCAAAATTAATTTTCCAAAAAATAGTTTTTTTTTCTCTTCCTCACCAAATCTGCTATTGCACTTATATTGCAAGAGGAGGTCTAATGCATTCAGTGTGTTGTTGAAGACCCCATGTGAGCTGGTCCCAGAGGACTTTCTCTCCAGGAATACTGGGCCCCGCACCTTTCCTGTTCCTACGATTTTCACACTCCTTCCCCCTGTCTCGAATGCCTTTGTTATACATTCTCCTTCTCACACTTCAGATGTTCTTTGTAAATTGAAAACCTTCTCATTCAGCTACATGTGAACAATGAGTTACAGAGAAAGCATGAGATGTAATTCTACACACTGAGAGTTGTATACAACTAAAGCCAATCATCTTCTACTTCACTCTGAAGTGGTAAAATGTAACCCCTTCCTGACCTTCCTTTATTATATGTAGTATGTAAGTGCTCTGAAACTCATTATATAAAAATTATTATTATGGCTATATTTATCCTGAGAATTACCATTTTCTCTGGTTTTCTCTCTTGCAGTTCAGAAGCCAATTACTGTTAAACAATTAAAAGCAATTAATGAGTTTTGGGACGAAGTGACTATCACTGAAATGCTGCAGAATTTTACCCACTGTTCCAGAAAATGCAGGGCCTGGCAGACCAGGGGCAAAAGCTGCTGCAATGACTGTAGAAAAGAGATTCTGGGATGGGACCCACTGAATCTAGTCATACAAAGAGATTGCTTTTCACCCTTCATTGTGGAAAAGTGAATGCCACAGCACACTGCAAAGAATAGAGCTTATTATCTCCAAATACCATTTGAAAATAAGTGATCAGTGCTGGAGAGTCATTAAATATACACAGTTGGAATATTGAGCTTTTAATCTATGGGAGCGACTTGGAATATATTGCCTCATTATTTTATTTTATGGCTCAAGACATAACTTGCATTATGTTTCAGTGAACAATGAGTATCAAACCCTGAAAAAATTACCTCATTTCTTTTTTATGCTTTCTCACTATAGGCAAATGCATTACAAACTCTAATTTATTCTGACCCAGAAATTGCTCTGTGGCACATTTCTGCAGGCTGCTGTGTGCATAAAACAGGGAGTCACTCAGCATAGGATTATTATTATTTTCTTATTTTTTTCAAATTGTTTATATTTCCAAAAGTCAAAGTCAGATTAGCTATTATAGGCAACTTTCAATATAATGTTTTCCAGAAGATAACACCATTACCTAGGATTAGTGCCATTCTATAACGCCTGAGAATAAGAACAACTAGCACCCACATTATCAAGAAAACAACTACGAAATACATGTACCTTAGTCATAGAATTTGATCCTGCATATCCGGATTTGTTCTGAGGTGCACAGTGTGTGAAATACAGTAGCAGAGAGAGATCTCTATTTCCTAACAGGATGGAGGGCCGGGGGGAAGCGGAAATGAAATGCAGTGAATGAGTGACAGCTGGGGAAGTGGAAATGAAGTGCAGTGAATGAGTGACAGCCGGGGAAGTGGAAATGAAGTGCAGTGAATGAGTGACAGCCGGGGAAGCGGAAATGAAGTGTAGTGAATGAGTGACAGCCGGGGAAGCGGAAATGAAGTGTAGTGAATGAGTGACAGCAGGAGTTACTTTCTTTGATCATCAGCACCTGCACATTTGTCTCCATTCATGAAACACTTTGCTCCTGTCGTTGGATATTAGATTGCAGCTCCTAGTTAAGCATTTCTTAATATGAAAGATCCAAGGCTTTGTCATTTTTATATTAAAACACTCGAATCATTAACTGTCGAGTGAAGAAGCCCAGCCCTATCAAGAGCACATGCTGAAGGCTCCGCTTGGATAAGGTTCAGACCACATGGAACGAACCCTGTGAGACAGAAATCCTAACAGAGGGCCGGGCGCAGTGACTCATGCCTGCAATCCCAGCACTCTGGGAGGCCGAGGCAGGTGGGTCACCAGAGATCAGGAGTTCGAGACCAGCCTGGTCAGCCTGGTGAAACTCCATCTCTACTAAAAATACAAAAATTAGCTGGGTATGGTGGCAGGCGCCTGTAATCCTAGCTACTCGGGAGGCTGAGGCAGGAGAATCCCTTGAACATGGGAGGAGGTTGCAGTGAGCTGAGATTGCGCCACTGCACTCCAGCCTGGGCAACAGAGCGAGACTCCATATCAAAAAAAAAAAAAAAAGAAAAGAAAAATCCTAACAGAGGTTACCAATGGGAGTGGGAGAGGCTCTGTCAAGTGGAAGGGGTCCCTGGGGAAGCTGTAAGGATGCTGGAAGTTTCTTATGCCTTGATAATTATAAAGGTATGTACCTCGGTAAAAATTCATTGAGATGCACACTTAAGATGAGTGCTCTTATGTTATAATAAAATAAAAATAAAAAGAAGTAAAAAAAGACTGGTTTGAAAATAAACAGTTTATAATCACCCCCCTGCCCCCACCCCAGACACACACGTTCATTCTCTCCGTCCCCAACACACACATGAAGAAGGGAGACCGACACCAACTGCCAGGACCCAGAAGAAGACAAAGGCCCATCTGCCAATCTTCTTCTTCTTCTCTTGAATTTTTCTCATCCTTCCTAGGTCTCCTCTGTGGTGCAAACAAAAGCGACACACACATTTCCACTGTAGTTCTCAAATTATGCTCCTGTGGCTCATGGATTTCTAAGAGCTAGTCTGAGAGTGTCCTGCTACTGAATTGAATAACAGTCCTCTTTTTCACATTGCACAGAATATTTAATGGGGGATATTTTCTTCATTCTATATTTCTTTCTTCTTGTAAAATTTTCTTCATCTCTATTATCTTTGAGCTTTTACCAAAAAATAAAATTAGCGAGCACATAGGAAATTCATAGTAGAGAAAAACAACTGAACTGCCAGTCACGTAGAGGTTGGTGGCTCTCTTGTTTACAGGTAAACCTGTTAGTCATTGATTAATGGTTACCAAGATATCATGACAGACTGCCACAGTGCAGGGTGCTCTTTACAGGGTGGAATGTTCTAACAAGTCTTTGGGGTTTAGTTTCCTGGGAATCTGAGCAGTTTGAAACCTTTGGCCCCAGGAAATGGCTGCGTTCTGTAAAATGGGAAAAACTACGTTGTGACAATTGTGTATTCCAGACCACAGCAAATTGGGTATATTTCATTTCTTCAGCAGAAGGTATTTTGATCACTAACCCCAAGTGCTCTGCAGGAAAGAGAGACTGTGCTGGTCTGCTTTCGATGAGGGGATCTCACCCTAAGGCTTTTTACTGTGGGCTGAGGGATGCTGAGTGGAATAAAACAGACTAGCAGACAAAATGAAGGGGCTGGCTGTCTTTTATTTACTTCTTGCTTTAATTTTTCAAAATACCTTAACATTTTAATATTCTGGAACAGTTTCATACCAACCCTGTTTTATAGACCAGGAAATGAACATCAAGAATAATTAGACAAACAGCCCAAATATATCCATGTATTTAGCTTTGGGCCAACACTATGCCTCCAAACTAAAACTTCTGATCGATCACAGCCTCAAGACTTATAATCCATTCTCTAAATTAAAAGAAAAAAAATCATTGAACAACATCTGTTCAATGCCACACACCTAGGACTAAGCATATAATTTTGACGAAGGCTAAGAGATGCCTTCTGCCTTGAATCATGGGATGTTAAGCAGTTATTTATGATAAAAGTATTTAATGATTTTACCAAAAGAATTTTACCTGGGAGTTTTCATAGGTCTTGGTGGGTTTATCCTTCTTTCTGAACCCAGGAGACATGAGTTACTTGACCTGCTACCAACGCAGAGAGGCAAATACATCCGGGCATCCTCACTGGGAGCTCATTAGGATGGAAGTGATTAATGCGGACGGAAACAGACAGAAAAAAGGAAGGGGAGGTGGACAGCAGGGGTTGACGGGGGAGGGGTGAGCTAGTAAGGCGTGGGGCTGCTCATTGCAGAAAGGAAATTTCATCTCGGTGACACAGTGTATGTCTATATCTGTATATCTATATACATAGATATAGATGTAGATATATATACAGATATAGATAGATACAGATATAGAGATAAATAGATAGATAAGCAAAAAAGAAAAGGCAGGTTATTAAAAATCCAAAGCCTGCTGCTCCCAAAGGAGCCTTGAAATCGTCAAAACTAGTTTTTAATTTTGAGTTTAGGTGAGTGAGAATCAGACGAAAGGCCCGTGTGGGGTGACTTCAAAGCGGCTATCTTCTCTGTCGAGGAGGAAAATGTGATCTCATCCCTTATTTACAGGATCAGCATCAACTGGGCCTGGCTTCTGGTGTTATCAGTGCAACTCTCTGCCTCCTCTCCGTTCCTGAGCTCTGTGAGGCCGCCTCCTGCTCCTTTCATCTCTCCCTGCGCCCTCCTCATCTGTATCCGATTTTGCCGTCTGAGGGTATGAAAAGGGATTTGTGAAGTGATACTGAAAGTTGAAACCACAGCCCACAGAGCCTCCTTGTCACCGGACGTGTGTTTGGCCATTGAAGATACGGATGCCACCCTCGGGCTGCAAAGGCACAGCTGTCGTGCGGGCCCAGCTCAGGCCGGGTTTTCTAGAATCTAAATCTTGCCTCAAATTTGGTAAATGTCACTTCGACATTTAAGTCAGATACCTAAATTCTTTGTATTTTTTTCTCCCTGTGGAGGTTCTCTCATTAAGCAAACTTTTAAACTTTCCATTTTGTGTGTGTGTGTGTGATTTCACAATTGCAGGGAACCCTGCCTGCTTCCTGATGTCTGCTGTGTACATGGGGGCTGAGATGTGGGCATTGCCCGAGGTCTGCCTGGGACAAACGCAGGGAAACTGTGCATGGCACCTCCTGGGTAAATGGACACTCACCCAGCTCCTGAGGTCTGCTGTCCCGAGGGATACTGCCCGGCCACTTAAGACCTGGCATCCCATGTCCATGTCAGAGCCATGGGCAAGCACCTGTGTGAGTCAGACTACCCAGCCAAAGCCCTGCTCCATGACCTGCCCTCCAGGTGATGGAGGGTGTCTGCTCCACCTGTCTGTGGGTGTCTCCTCAACAGCACAAATATGTCTACAGATAGGACCCCCTTGTAGCACCGATTTTAGGTTTAAATGAGAGAATGTCGAGTCTCATCTAGTCTAGCGCCACAGCCCACGTGAATCCTGAAAAACTGACAGGTGTCCTTATGTGATCCTGAGAAGACCCTAGGACCGAATCATTATGTTCCTTATAGAGCACCAGACCACATCCATCCATGGTCCTCATGCCACACTGAAGGCTTGGGACTGGACTGGTGATATGCTTTGGCTGTGTCTCCACCCAGACCCTATGTTGAACTGTAGCTTCCATATTCCTCACGTGTTGTGAGAGGGACCTGGTGGAAGGTCACTGAATCATGGGGGCGGTTACCCTCATGCTGTTCTTGGGATAGTGAGTAAGTTCTTAGGAGATTTGATTCCTTTTTAAGGGGCTTTCCCTGCTTTTGCTCATTCTTCCCCTTCCTGCCACCACGTAAGATGTGCCTTTACTCCTTCTTTGCCTTCCGCCATGATTGTGAGGCCTCTCTAGCCATGTAAGACTGTGAGATTATTAAACATCTTTTTAATAAACATCTTTTTCTTCATAAAGTACCCAATCTGGGTATTTCTTCAAGGCAGTGTGAAAATGGACTAATACCATGGGTAGACAGATTGCAGGTGAGCCCCACTCTAAAGATGACAGTCTGTGGCTATCTTGTACTTTAAGCAAGGGTGGCACACACAGACCTGATGCTGCCACTGTGATGAGAGCTGGAGGGAGGCCTCCTGGAAGGAGGATTCTGCCTGAGCCAGGAGCTACGGGTGCCACCCCTCATGCCTGTCCCCAGCACCGCCTCAGTCACAAAGCTATGCAGTAGCATCTTCTGGGCCTGACTCTGGTCTCCTGACTCCTACCTCGGCACTTCTCTAACCATGCCAGTGTCAGGGGTAATCCTCCGGGAAATGGTAACTTTCATGAGATGCAATGCTGAAGCGAGTGTTCTGAAAACCCTATCTGCATGGCAGAAGCACCCTCTGCTCCCAGATATTTTTCCTGCACTGTGTCCCCCGCAAAGCAGCTGCACAATGATGCCTGTGTGAATTCCCTTCTTCTTAGGATGCTGACTCTTAACCATTTTAATAAGGTATAGTTTATCCTATCAAATTTACCATAGTAAGTGTACAATTCAACGATTCTTTAGAAAACTTGCAAAATTGTCCAGCTACCACCAAAATCCAGTTTTGAAACATTTCTATTATCCCCCTAATCCCTTCAAGCCCATTTATAGCCCATCTCCCCTCCCTTCTCCAGCCCCATGCGAGCACTGAGTGGTGTTTTGTGTCTCAATTTATCCATATCTATTCTGTGTCTAGTCTATAGGAGGAATTGTATAATGTGTAGCCATGTGTGTCTGGCTTCTTTTACTTAGCATATTTCTGAGATTTATCCACGTTATAGCTGTATCAGTATTTCATTCCTTTTTATTGTTTAATAGTTTTCCACTGCAAGAAAATATCACACTTTGTCTATCTAGTCATCAGTGTATGAACATTTGGGTTATCTGAAGGATTTGGCCATTGTGAATATTGGTGCTTTCAACATCTGCAGACCTCTGTGTGGACAGATTTTGTAAAACTTCAGTTTGGTAGATACTTAAGAGTAGAACTTCGGATTGTATGTTGAGCTAATGTTTAACTCTTTAAGTAGCTGGGAAGCCCCTTTCTGAGTGGCTGTACCGCCCAGATTCCCACCACCCACAGGTGAGATTCCTGCTCCTCCACATTCTCACCCACAATTGGCGTTTTGTGTCTTTTCAATGATTCTGCCAGGCATATGGCATTCTTCCTTATGGTTTTAGTTTGCTCACTGAATTTTCACATGCAGCCCTTTTCTACTTTGGAAATCTGTAGGTGAAACAGCTCTAAATTATTCCTTGATTTAAAGTAAGTTGGTTGTCCTCAAAACTTCAGCTCTTGAATAGGTTCGAGAAAATTCAGAAACTCACCACTCAGCCCTCTTTCACTGTAGGCTTCCAAAGGGTGCTCCTCCTAGCTCTCTGCATCCCCAAGCAGAAACCGGAAACATTTGTCATCTGTTTGTACCTCAAAAACATTCATTGCTTCACTGCAAAAAGATCTTGAAAGGATTTATCATGAAGAACAAAAAACCCAGTAAAATAGTATTAATTTTAATATTGACAACAACATTTTAGTTGACTACTTAATATTGATTTAGCATTTTCTCTTACTAGACACTGTGCAAGATACTTTACATATCTAATGTTTATTTTTATTTTTTGAGATGGAGTCTGTCTATCACCCAGGCTGGAGTGCAGTGGCACGATCTCAGCTCACTGAAACCTCTGTCTCCCAGGTTCAAGCAATTCTACTGTCTCAGCCTCCCAAGTAGCTGGGATTACAGGCGTGTGCCACCATGCCCAGCTAATTTTTATATTTTTAGTAGAGAGGGGATTTCACTATGTTGGCCAGGCTGGGCTCAAACTCCTGACCTCAAATGATCCACTCGCCTTGGCCTCCCAAAGTGCTGGGATTAGAGGTGTGAGCCACTCTGCCTGGCCTACATAGCTAATTTTAAAAAAACACAATGAGATAGGTGACGTTATTATTTTTTATTTTTGCAACTTATAAAATTAAGAGCCAGAGTCTTCAGTTCATCAGGTTAGAAACCAAAATAAATAAAACATATGGTACTATAAATTATTAAATATTATTTCAATTGATGTAGGCTATATAATTGAATGTATATCTTTACACAAAATGAATTTGTTTAATCTACTCTGTGATTCTAATATTTGTGGGACACAGTTTAGAATAACTTCAGACCCTTATGGATGAAACAAAGGGGGTTACACTTATCATAGTACCAGATGCCTAGTTACAAGTTTCCTAAATAAAAGCTTCTAAGGAAAGATAACCAAGAATGCCATTATTTTAAGAAACCAATGTAAATGATTATTATGCAAATAAATAATATGTTTGCTCTAAGAGAATACCTATAACAATACCTTATTAATTAAAATATGACAACATCCCAAATACAAGTTTCTGAAAATTATATTATTTAAGTTATTAATGAGAGCTAAGATTATATTGGGAGAAGCGCACTAAAAGCTACAACCTAATCCTAGCAAATGCAAACATTTAGAAAGAAAAGAAAGTCTGTATTTCAGTATTGAAAGTATTGAGAGAGTGTAAACTTTGAGTGTTGCAGTGACAATTGCGTTTTACATAATTTAAACATGTAACTCATTTATTAGAGGAGCCTAGAGACCAAACCCAGCTTATTCAAAACAAACAACTTAATTAGGGGCTAGTAATAATTTACTATAATTGGCATATAAACACCCCCCTGACAAATGTTGACTTTTATCAGTTTGATCACAAGATAAAATTAAGTACCAAGCACTGGTGATTAATTAAGTTTGTTACTTCTTAGCATAATTGAAGAGAAGGGATCTATTTGATGCTTACTTTTAGCAAGAAAATTCAGTTTCTTCAATATGTCAAAATAGGCATTTGGGTGAGTCAACAGACTATTTCCTGATTTGTATTCAGCTGTTCTGTTCCAACCCAAAAGAGGAATATTTGCAGGAGGTGACATACTATGGGATGCCATGACATGAATTTCGAAAGCCTTGTTGCAGCAGACAGAGGGCCCCTCTACACACTTGCACCGTCCTTCCTGGCTACTACGATCCACCCTGCTTCAAGGTAGTAAGTAGTGCCTGTGTGTGTGAATGGGTGAGTGTTCTCTCCAATTTTGCCTCTTTTCGGATGGAAACTATTTCTCAGATTGCCTTGCTTGCCTCTAGATCTAGTGATCCATTCTAGCTGAAAACTGCAAGGAGTTGTGCTCCCAAGGAGCTGCCACATAACCTCTGCTTGCCTGAGTGTAGGCATGCCCAGTGTTCTCGAAATGTTTTCAAAGAAACAACTTTTGGGTTCATTAGTTTTTTCCCACTGTTTTTCTATACTTACTTTCATCAGTTTTGCTCTAACCTCTGTTACTCCCTTTCATTTGCTTGCTTTGAGTTTAGTTACCTCTGCTTTTTCTAGTTTCTTAAAGTGAAAAACTAGCGTAATTTGAGATGATCTTTTATCGCTGTTTTATTGTTTCATTGACAGGTCTTAACTTCTCTCCAAGCACGGTGCTGCTGCATGCAGTAAGTGTTCGTGAGTTGTACTTTCATTTATCTCAAATTATTTTCTAATTTCCTTTCCTATTTATTCTTTGATCCGTTGATTACTTAGAAATGTGTGGTTTAATTTTTGCATATTTGAATTTGAATTTTGCGTATTTGAATATTGATTTTTTTCTGTTATTGGTATCTAATTTAATTCCATTGTGATCAGAGAACACACTTTGTAGGAATTTAATATTTTTAAAGTTATTTAAAAAACCTTCCACAAAATAACAGCAGATAAAATTAAACAATGTATAAAAATAATTATATACAGCAGTGAGGTGATATTTTATTTCAAGTAGGTAAGTTTGGATCAACATATGAAAATTATTTCAGAAATTCAGTACATCAACAGACTAAACAAGTAAAATCATATCATAAAAAGTATTTGACAAAACACAACACCAATTCATGATAAAATAAGAGGGAAATTGTTTAACTTAATAAAGAACATGTGCATAAAACCTACAGCAATTTCAAAATGTATGGTGGAAAGCTAGATTTCCTCCTGAGGTTAAGAAAAAGGCAAGGCTGGAGCCTATCACCACTCTTCTTCAATACTGCACTACAAGTCCCAGCCAGTGCTGTGTAGAATGAAAATAAAACAAAAAGTAGACCAACAAGAAAGGAAGAAAGTGAATTGTCTTTGCTCACAGATAAAGTGGAGGTCTATTTTTTAAATCTCAAAAAATCAAAAAAATCTGAAATTAATAAATAAGGTTTTTGAATATGCAACACACCAACAATGAACAAGTGAAATTTAAAATTAAAAAAACAACAACCTTAAATCACATCAAAATAAATGAAAAACATAGGTATAAATCTAACAAAATATAATATGAACAGGAAGTGTATGCAGGAAACTAGACAGAAATCCCAGATCTAAATAAATAAATGGGAGAGTTTACGCATTCATAGGATAGAAGACTCCACGTTGTTAAAATGTCAGTTATTTCCAACTTGATCCACACATTGAATGAAATCACAGTCAAATCTCAGCAAGCTACTGTGTAGATACCAACAAGCATTCTGAAGTCCACATGCAAGAGGGAAAGACCTAGAACAGCCAACGTAATAATAAAGAACAAAGTTGGGGGACTCACATTACTTGATTTTGAGATTTATTATGAAGCTACAATGATCAATATAGCATGGTAATGTTGACAGAATACACAAATAGATCCATGAAACAGGACAGAGACCTCAGAAAGAGAGCCACACAAATATAAACTGTATTTGCAAAGGGAGCAAAGACAATTCAATAGAGGAAAGATATAACATCTTCAACAAATGGTGCTGGAACTATTGGAGATCTATGTTTAAAAATGAATCTATATCATCACAAAAGTTAACTCAAGGTGAACCAAAGACCAAAATATAAAATGTAAAATTCTAAAAGTTCTCAAAGAAAATATAGAAGAAAATCTATGTGAGCTTGGATTTGGTGATAAATTATTAGATACAACATCAATTGCTCAATGTGTGAAAGAAAAAAATGATTAATCGTATTGTATTAAAATTGAAAGCTTCTGCCCTGTGGAAGAAACAGTTGACAGAATGAAAAACAAACCAAAACACAACAAAAACAGTTAAAGACTGGGAGGAAATATTTGCCAAAACACATATGTTAAAGAGCTTGTATCCAAATTATACAAAGAACATGTTAATTTTCACAGTAAGAAAATAATCCAACTAAAAATAGATAAAACCTTTTTAAGTATCTAACAGAAACCTTAGTAAAGGGATACACAAATGAAAAACAAGCTTATCAATGCTAATTATTATTCTTCTTCACTAGAAAATGCCAAATGAAAACAATAATGACTTGCCTATCAGAAAGGTACATGTCTATTAGAGATGCTAAAATCCAAAAAATTGATAATACCAACTCTTGGCCAGGACATGAAGCAACAAGAATTCTCATTTATTTCTGATGGCATGAAAAATAGTTCAGCAACTTTGGAAGAAATTTGGCAGTTGCATATACAATTAAAAACAGTCTTATATGATTCAACAATTGTGCTTGTAGGTATTTGTCCAACTTATTTAAAAACAAATGCCATCACAAAAACCCACTCTAAAGTTTACAGCAGCTTATTTTATAGGAGCTGAAAACTTGAAGAAAATGAAATTTAATAGATGTGCTGATTTCAGTCTGTGTCACATCTGTAAAATACACGGTTGTTCAGTAATGAAAAGAAATGAGCTATTAAGCCACAAAGAAGATGATGAAACATAAACGTGTACTAGTGAAAGAAGTCAGTCTTTTAAAAGGTCCATATTGATGTTTCCAATTACATGCATTTCTCAAAGGCAAAACTATTGTAATGATAGAAAATATTCATCTAGGCCAGTCATGGTGGCTCACACCTGTAATCCCAGAACTTTGTGAGGCCGAGGTGAAAGGATTGTTTGAGCCGGGGAGTTTGAGGCCAGCCTGGGCAACGTAACGGAACCATGTCTCTACAAAAAAAGTAAAATAAAAAAATAGGCAGGCACAGTGGTGTGCACTTGTGGCCCCAGCTACTTGGGAGGCTGAGGCAGGAGGATCACTTGAGCCTGGGAGGCCAAGGCTTCAGGTCATGACACCACACTCCAGCCTGGGCAACAGAATGAAACCCTATCTCAACAAAAAGGAGAAAAAAAATGTTTAAAAATGTAAACATAAGAAAATATCCCTTTTTTTCCAGGGTAGCAGGAAGGTGAGGAGAGTTGAAGAGGTGGAGCAGGTCAGGGAACTGTGGCTGATGAATGAATCTGTTCTGCAGGACAGTGTAAGGACGGTTACACTGAGCATTTGACATAGTTCGTAGAACTTCACAATAGAAATAGTGAACCTTAATGTATGCAAATAAAAATAAATCATTGAAGAAGTTGTGGATACCAGGTTTGAATGTATAACATGACAAATACATCTAAGTTTACTGAAATATATAAAATTATCTCACTTAAAGGAGTGGAGGAAATGGGTGCTGACCTAAGTAACTTTGGAAAAGCTTTTGTAGTAATAGTGAAAAAAGGAGCTATGAATAAGCACGGCTATCTTTGATAACGTTCTTCCCCAGGAGGATAAGGATTCACTATTCCAGAAACTTCTATATGCCTACTGGAATTAAACAATGTCATGAATGGGCAGCAGGTGGTGGGAGTTAGGCTTCTCTCTGCAGAGTGAGTGGTTCCTGAGGAGGGAAGAAGCCAGAGGACACACGCGGTGATGGGTAAATGTTGACATAAGTATGGCTGATCTGGCTCAGCTTAATATAGGTAAAGATGTTTACATAAAAATTATTTAGATATATGTATGTATATGCGTTTGTATAAATACATATCTCACAGTTCTGTCAGTTACAAGGGCCAAGAAATAACAACAAAATACCTTATCAGTGTTCCATAAAGCTGCCAAAGTCATCAAAACAAGGAAATTCTGAGGAACTGTGTCAGCCAAGAGAAGCTAGGGAGATAGGACTTCTAAAGAGAATGTGATATCCCAGGTAAGAGAGTGGAACTGAAAAAGGCCACTAAGCATAAACAGGGACTCTAAATAAATGATTGACTGGATTTAATCATCATATATTAATTTTAGTTTGTTAATTGTGGCAAATGTGTTATATTAATAAGTAATAAAGAAAGCTGAGTGCAGGGTACTGGAGGACTCTGTAATATCTTCACAATAATTCTGTAAATACAAAGCTGTTTTAAAATAAAAACTATTTAAAAACATCCTTGAATGAATGTTACTATTATCTGAATGTTTGTGTCATTCCCAAACTCATATATTGAGACCTAATCATCAAGGTGTTACCAAATGGTGTTACCAAATGGGGCCTTGGGAGGTAATGAGGTCAAGAGGGTAGAGCCCCATGAATAGAATCAGTGCCCCTATAGTAGGACTCCAGAGAGCTCCTTCTCCCCTTCCACCATGTGGGGACACAGCTCACAGGAACCCCCATGAATAGGATCAGTGGCCCCAGAGGAGGGACCCCAGATAGCTCCTTCTCCCCTTCCACCATGTGAAGACACAGCTCACAGGAGCCCCCATAGGAGGGACCCCAGAGAGCTCCTTCTCCCCTTCCACTGCGTGAAGACACAGCCAGAAGGCACCGTCTATGAACCTTCAGGGAGCAGGCCCTCACCAAACACCAAATCTGCCTTGATTTTGAACTTTTCAGCCTCCAGACTGCAGGAAATAAATGTCTGTTGTTTATAAGCCACCCGGTACATGATACTCTATTATTACAGCAAGAACAGACTGAGAAAAAAACAACAACATAAAATGGTAGATTGTTGGTAGAAGTGACCACAGCTGTGGGTATTTGCTGGTTCGGGATTTAGAGGCATTGCTGAATTCTGAGATCGTTGGCACAGTTGTTATAGTTAAGTTTGGTTCTTCCATGTAGCTTAGCCAAGATGCCTCATAAAGCCCTAATCCCACCAGAAGTTTTCCTTATGGTCTCTCCCTGACGTTTCTCAACTTCAATTAACACAACTTGTAAGTGGATGACAGTATTGGAAGTGAGGATGGCATTAACTTAAAGACATAACCTTCAACATTGTTGAATTTTACTTACGTTTTTGAAATAATTTATACTATTGTTATTTTATGTGTTATGCTTGTGTATTTCGAGTTAGTTATACTTACTGTTTATTGTTTTCTACGGAAGAAAGAACATGATCTGTCTATAGTCACACAGGTAATTTGTGACAAATCAATTTATTCATTAATTTATTCAACCCTCTTCTGAAACACAGTTTTTCTGCACTTCCAATGTGCTCAACCTTGTCTTAAGCAATTGGAAATTTTCATAAAATTACAACAAAACCCTGAGCTTTCCTGGATGCTCCATTATTGCAGAGGAGACACACAGTGAATACTAAACATGATAAATAAGTCATTTATAAAGTACATCAGAGACTAGTTAGAGTGATTTTAAAAACTAAAGCAGAGTGAACATGCAGGATTGCAGTTGTGGGTCTGAGAGAAGGGGCATATTCCGTATTAAATAGGGTGCTTAGCACAGCCCTTTTCAAAGTGGAGACTTGAGGGAAGCCTAAGGAGGGATGGGGCTTGGTCAGGTGGCCCCTGGGAACTGAGTCTCCAGGACCAGGACACAGCTATGCAGAGACACCCAGTCGGGGGAATGCTTTGGTTTGCTGAAGGTATAGCGAGGAGGCTGGAAAGACAGCAGCAGGTAAGCACATTGGAGAGATATAGGAAAGAAGGCCAGAGGGAGGCTGGAGGTCCCCGGGAGGCCAGCAGAGAGCATGAAGGACCCTGAGCAGAGGAGAGTCATGGTCTGATACCTCAGGTTTCTGTCTTGATAAGACAGACTGCCCGGGGAGAGGTGGTTGCTAGGAAACTCGAGAGGAGCCTTAGGTAGCCACCCAAGAGATGGGCATGGTGGCTTTGGGTTCTGACAATACGTGTAAGATTGGCCCAGAAGAGTTTTTTGAAAGATAAATGTGATATAAAAAAGTAAAAGAAAAATAGAGAAAAGAGAGAAAGAAAAAGGAAGGAAGGGAGGGAAAAGAAAGAGAAATAGAGAAAGGAAGAAAGGAAAAGAAAGAGAAATAGAGAAAAGAGAGAAAGAAAAGGAAAGAAAGAAAAAGAAAGAGAGAGAAAAGGAAGGAAGGAAGGAAGGGAGGGAGGGAGGCTTTTTGTCTGGGAGGAAAGGATGCTCAGGTAGATGGTGAAACGTTTGAGAATTGAGATGTGAAAGACTGAGTGGAAGAGATCTGGGGAGGCCAGGAACACATTCTGGAGCATGCTGATTCTGAAAGTTCTGTTCAAGTTCAAGTGGAAATAGCAAATTTGTAGTTGGATATGGAAGTCCAGACTTCTGTGTAGATGCATTGGAAGGAGACAAGAACTTGGGGGCCCTAATGGACAGAGGACAAACTTAGCAAAGACTGATTGGGGCCAACATCTACCTTCTTTTCCTATTCGGGGTTCTGTCGATGAATCTCTTTGCACAAGCAGCGACTTAAAATATTTTGCTTCAGATACCAAAATGATCATATTGTATAGATTTAAAAAGTTTCATATTGATTTCTATTATTAATAAAAATTGGTTTTGTAGGTTTTGATAAATTCTGTCCTCATGGAAGTCCTAGCAAGATTCTTCATAAAACATCATCACAATGAGTTATCCTTGTAAAAATTGCTTTTTGTTGTTAAGAAAATTAGAAAATATAATCTAAATGAACGTAAATTATTATAATCTGAGGAACAAGGAGTGCATTGCAAATTTAATCAATAGCTTAACATATTATTGTGCTTTAAAATTAAAGTTTCAGAACTGAAAAAAAAAGCTCCATGAAACTTAGGAAGCAATGAAACTGACTAAGCTTCATTTCATTGTTTCTTTGCAAATCTTCAATGAAGTGTGTATGTTAAATGGATTAGCTGGCCATTTCATGCTCAGTAACGTTTGTGATATTAGCTTTGCATTTGTTTTTAATTCATGTAATGAGTTTAGATTTTTATGTTACAAGGCAATCATGCTAGCCTTGTAACTGTGAGGCACCCCATGTATTTTCTATGGAATCATTTCAACCAAACTCTGTTGGCATTATTTCCATTTGTTTTAACTCTATGACTCTGAACTCTACTTCCTACACTGAGGATGAAACCATAGTCAAAGCTGTCACTATGCCTGTTTAATTCACGACACAGATCTCTTCCCTATCTCAGTTGGGCAAGCCCCAAATAAGAAAGCTTCATCTAGGGCATCCAAATGCCCTGGTCTACCTGGTATCTGCCCATGTTACCCTGGTTGCCCTGGCATGCCACTCAGTCTAACATATTTCACAGGTATTTCAACTTTAACTACTTTGGATACTGGTAGTTGCATTAGGATAATCAGAATGGGTTTGGAGGACCTCCTCCATGCTCTTCCCAAATCTATCATTGACATCCATATGCAAGAAGCATTTTCACTTGTTATGGACTGAATGCTTGTGCCCCCAGATTCATATGTTGAATTCCTAATCTCCCTTGGAACGGTTTTAGGAAGTGGAATGGTCGAGGCCTCTGGCAGGTAGCTGTGGATGAGGTCATGATGGTGGATTTTCTTGTAAAAAGAGGCCAGAGCTCTCTCTCTACCATATGAAGATATGGCAAGAAAGCATCTTCTGTGAACCAGAAAGAAGGCCCTCACTAAGAACTCAATCTGCTGGCACTTTGATTTTGGACTTCCCAGACTCCAGAATGGTGAGAAATCAGCGTTTGTTGTTTCTGCCAGGCAGTCTGTGGAATTTTGCTATAGCAGCTCGACCCAGTGGAGACATCACTTGGCACATGATAAATCCAGTGCAGGCATTCACGACCACGTTCTCTTGTCTACGTCATCTGCTGGTACAGCAGAAACAGCACCAGCCTTTGAGCAGAGTGAGCAGGATGTTTGCTGATAGAACACAGTGGCTTTCACGTAAGCAGCCTAGCTACCGTGGCCTGGGGAAGTGCCTCTTGCCCATACCTGTGCTGTACACTTGAGCCAAACAAGATGCACAAATGTTTCAGGTCAATGCAGGAGTGGACAGCATCAGGGGGCCTGAGAAATTATAAGTTAGGTGTTGTTATTGTTTATTTGTTTTCATCAGATATCAAGTTGCGATTTGTTCCCACTGTGGGCAGTGTTCGAGGAGTGTCTAGTAGGACATGTCTGGATCATAGGGACAAATTCCTCATGAATGGCTTGGGGCTATTGTCCTGGTAGGAAGTTCTCACTCTCCTGAAGTTGGAGTAGTCCTGAGGGGACTCCTCCTGAGAATGGGTTGTTGTAAAGAGAGGGTACTCCTGCTGTTTGGTCACTCTTTGCATGTGCCCACTTCCTCTTCAAACATTTTTGCTATGTCTTGACTCAGAACAGAAGTCCTCACCAGAAGCCTAGCAGAAGCTAACATCATGCTCCATGTACAGCCTGCAGAACTGTGAGCCAAATAAACCTCTTTTTTAAAAATATAAATTGCTAAACCTCAGATAATTATTTATAGCAACACAAAATGGACTAAGATTGTGTGTATGACCTACAGGTGGAAGGCAGTGTGGGAAATATGTGTGAGGAAATGCTATCGCTTTCTAAGTTTCCTATGTGGCATTGTTTGTCTTATGATCATAATTACTATTAATTCTTATTTAGAAACAAGTATTCCAATTTTTGTCGCATTTTGGTCAAAAAAATTAAAATTGTTTAATCAAAGTATTCAATGAATTAACTCCAAAATACTTCTGTTGGAAGCTTTAAACTAATTGCAATACTAAAGGCAAAGCTTTCAAAAAGGAAAGTATTGTAGTTTATACAGATAAAAGCAAAATATGGACTCAAATAATGGAAGCTCAAATGTGTATAATATTTAAGTTTAAAATTCAGTTTTGTGATCCCTCAGTCATGGGAAAAAGCTTTAGTCAGAACTACTACTTTTAATTAAATAAATGAATATATTTTAGTTGTATATCCTTTCCTGGAATGGAATAATATTGGGAAGTCCTGTTAGTTCTCAATGGCTAAATCATATGAGCCATTCAATATAATCATAAATGGAATACACTATTTGACTAGTTTTCCCCTGTTAAAATAGTCTATTAATGGAAGGTAATGTAACAAAATGCAAAAGCAGATACTTTTCAAAAAGTTTTGCTGATACTTCAAGTATTTTCAATAAAAATAATTTAGGATTGAGAGTATTTCTTTTTAGCCCTCAGCATTGTGAGAATATTTTCTCAGTTAAAATTATCTTCTACAAAGAGGGCTAAACTGATGGTATAAACAGCTTCATATGACATTTAAAAGATGACTACAGGCAATTTTATGAAAACATAAAAATAACAAGGCTATATTAAAAAAATAAATTATTCAGACTGTTATCACGACACTATTAAAGAGAGATGTAACCAAGAAAGTAATTCAAGCATGTGGATACTTAGCAGGAAAAATGTGTTTTTGTTTCTCATTTTAGTATTTATTTAATTAAACTAAAGAAGTTTCACATACATTCATCGTACAAGAATATATTTTAGAAAGAATTTCATTTGAAAAAATAGGTTTCCATATATCCACCAATATAAACAGAAAAATGTATTGGTCCATGTATTTTTAAAATATAATTTTGTTTATTGATCTTTTACACTCAACAGTACACACTTTGGACAGTAAGTTCAATGATCACTCTGCCCAAACCCACACCTCTGTTGGGTGCTTGTGGAGGTATGTTAGGGGAGGAGTCCATGAAAGTGTATGCCCACAGACACAAGGGACTTTCCTTAGCTAAACACTAGAAATAATGTGTCTTAC
Source organism: Homo sapiens (assembly GCF_000001405.40). Classification (NCBI taxonomy): domain Eukaryota; kingdom Metazoa; phylum Chordata; class Mammalia; order Primates; family Hominidae; genus Homo; species Homo sapiens. The sequence continues at coordinate 2,160,314 of NC_000010.11, forward strand.
ACCTTTGGAATAAGTATCCTTTGTTAGAAATTCATTTTAGCAAATATGGCTTGGCAGTCTTTCATAGGCAAGCTATTATTCACTTTGTGTGAGGGAATACTGTAAGTTTTGGACGGAAGCTACATATGTTACACAAAACTGAAAGGTAACTCTCTCCTTTGGCATAAGAATGAACTTGGGGAGAATTAGAATTATTGGGCTGGTGCAAAAGAAATTGCGGTTTTTGGTGCAATTACTTTTGCACCAATCTAATGAAAAAGAGGCCGGTGTGGTGGCTCATGCTTATACTCCCAGCACTTTGGGAGGCTGATGTGGGCTGATCCCTTGAGCTCACGAGTTTAAGATCAGCCTGGGCAACAAGGTGAAACCCTCTGTCTACAAAAATACAAAAATCTGCTGGGTGTGGCGGTGCACACTTGTGGTCCCAGCTACTCTGGAGGTTGAGGTGGGAGGATTGCGTGAGCCTGGGTGGTGAAGGTTGTAGTGAGCCAAGATTGCACCACTGCACTACAGCCTGAGAGATAGAGCAAGACTCTATGCATTAGTCCATTCTCAAATTGCTATAAAGAACTACCTGATACTGGGTAATTCATGAAGAAAAGAGGCTTTATTGACTCACAGTTCCACAGGCGGTACAGGAAGCATGGCTGGGAGGCCTCAGGAAACTTACAATCATGGCGGAAGGAGAAGGGGAAACAAGCACATCTTCACATGTCAAAGCAGGAGAGAGAGCTAAGGGGGAAATGTTACATACTTTCAAACAACCAGATCTTTGATAACTCTATCAAGAGAACAGCAAGCAGAAATCTTCCCCCATGATTCAATCACCTCCCACCAGGCCACTCCCATAACTCATAGGGATTACATTTCAGCATGAGATTTGGGTGAGGACATAGAGCTAAACCATATCGCCCTATCTCAAAAAATAAAAATAAAAAATAAATAAATAAAAATAAAAATAAAGAGAGCAAGCATTTTGTGAGCTTGGGTTCTCTCTTATGTAAGGAAGGTAATTTGCAGAAATATGTCTGTAGTTATCTACTTTAAATACAATGCAAATTGATAAAATACAGTAAAAGAAACATATATTTTTGAAAATATATTGAAAGTGTTGAAGGGACTTGATAGAAGTGAGTTTCTAAAAAGTATTTGCTATTAAATTGAATGAGGGAGAATGGAAACTATAGAATATTGGAGAAAACATTGGGAAACCAAAACTGAATCTAATAGTCAATAAGCATGGCTGTAGATGCAATACTAGTAATAATCATCGTTATTTGTTCCTATTCATATCGTTTACTTTTAAAACCTATAAATTAGGGAGTGACTGTATGATTTCAGATCCATCTTTCTCTTTCTCTTCTTCAGCATCTTACTAAACTTTAAACCCAGATAAATTTCCCCAGTGATTTGCCTTATAATGTTTCTGTTCTAAACCTTGCGTTTAGAAGCTTCCATATAATTTGTGCAGCCATATCTAGTAATGGGCCAATCAATATCCCCCCACCCTGACCCTGTTCCTGTCATAATCACAACTAGATCCTTACTCGAGAAGCTCCGTTAATCCCTAAGCATCCTCCACACCCTGGGCAGTACCGTATTTTGCTATTTCACTAAGTCTCAGCAGAATTGCCAACTACCTGAGTTAGCACCCCTTGTAAATAGATCAATCTCTTTTGCAGTTAAACCCTTTAGAAAAACAAAATCATCTCAAAGACAAATACCCCAAAGTGTCTGCTGCTCTTTTTTTTCCTCAAAGATAAAATTCTATGTGCATTTTTTCCTAGAATGATTTCCTGTCAAACAGCCGCACCCATAAATATTGATTTGACGTTGACTTTTTATTTAAAATCCACCAGAAATACACTCCAGCAACATGTACTCAGGCAGGTGCCCATGCATGCACTCGTGAGACCTTTCTCTGTGCTCCTCTTGTCCCTAGTTTAAGTCACTGCACACCTGAATTTTTACCATCCTATTTCTCTCCCTAATGTTTCCTGAGGGTGAGGGTCATGGGAACTGTTTTGAAGCCCTCATCCTTGATGGAACGTGCACCGTTCACCTAGGAGAAAACTCTTTCCTTATTTGGAAGTTGTCTTGTTGAAGACAAGGATGGCTGGCTCCGTGGATAGGGTTCCATGTTTTAGGATTCACATTCACCATTTTCCACTGGCTGAACTTTCAACATCATGGCTCACACCCCTCAACTTTCTGCCCCTCCGAGATGCTTTCTCTCACTCTGCACAGGTGGTTTGAGAATCCTGCTTTGTCCTCCCTTAGCTTTTGTTGAATTTCTTTGTCTTCAAATGCTTGTCTTTCTTAATTGTAGACAATTGCTTATTTTTCTCTGTCCTGATATACTGCTAACTACCTTGATTTGAGGATTTTCATCTTCCTCAATTTTGTAAGCCAAACTCGAAAGGGCAACCTGCAAGTGACATACCATCGGCATCAACAAACACCAAAGGGGCCCCTTGAATTTATGCCTTCATTTGTGCAGAGTGGCTCTATGATGCAAAGGTAGAAATATCACTTAAATAGTGTTAAAGTGGATGCATGGTGTTTTATGCCTTTCCAACAGCCATAGTTACTAACAACGGTGATATAGAAGAAAATTGTCTGGAGAAGAAGGAAACTTAAGAAAAAGATAAAAGGAGAAAAAGAACATTTTCAAGTTAGTTGCTTTCACAAATAACATTAACTAGCATTTTCACCTTCCACCTCTACAACTTCCACAGACACTGAGACGAGTCACCTCTGACCCACCTACATGCTACTTCTAGAACATAACATTCATTCTAGGAAAGGCAACTAAGGGATGCTATATCAGTGAAGAGTGTGAAAAAAATATGCATCTTCTGTATTCATACTTGGGAATGCATCTAGTAAACACCCCACTGACTTTTTATAATTTCTGCATGTAACAAGTTTACATTCCCTATAAACATAGCCTTACAAATAATATCATCTGCAGGAAGGTAATATACCTAATATATCACACCTAAAGAGTTGGGAGAGGTATACGTCTTTAATCTTCAATCTGTTAAAGTATTTTAAATAATAGCATTGCCAAAAATCACACTTTGATGAGACAGGTGAAGGACCGTGGAAGCCTGGGACATCCAGCAGTCTCGCTTAGGTACAAATGTCTGCCTGCACCAAGTTTATTGATAAGCTGAAGCACAGGAGCAAAACATTGGCACAAAGAGAGCCCCCCTTTCTGGAAGGGCCTTGGACTTTCCAGTGATGCCTCCCGAGGGTGCTTTCACTACACTGGGATGTGCTTGGTTTGGGAGAATCTGGAATGTGTGAGTTAGAATTTAGAAAAAAGAGGTGTTTGGTTCTGGGGGGGTCACAGCTTTTTACTTGGTTAATCACTCGGATAATGTCTCTGAGAGTCTCTGAACTCTGACCTCCAGCCAGCTGAATCCCGTAAATCCGTATGTTCGATATTTATTTGCAATGAGCAATGAAGATAGGTGCAAGTATATTGATACAGTTTGGATGTGCATGGCTCCCAAATCTCATGTTGAAGTGTGATCCCCAGTGTTGGAGGTGGGGCATGGTGGAGGTGTTTGGATCATGGGGTGGATCCCCCATGAATGGCTTGGGCCATGCCCTTGGTGATGAGTTCTCACACAGTTCACAGGAGATCTGGTTGTTTAACAGAATGTGGCACCTCCCCCACTCTTTCTCATGCTCCCACTCTCCTCATGTGATGTTCCTGCCCCTGCATCTCCTCCTGCCATGATTGTAAGCTGAGCTGGTGCCAGTACCATGCTTGTTCAGCATTCAGAACCCAGAGCCAATTAAACCTTTTTTTCTTTATACATTACCCAGTCTCAGGTATTTCTTTATAACAACACAGGAATGGCCTGGAACATATATCAGCTAAACATATCAATTTTTGAGAAATTGCCCCCTCATCTTGCAGCTGGTAAACCACTGCCCCCCATTGGAATTTTGCAAGGAGGTATGGTCAAGGTCAACATTTCCTCACTGGTGTTCACTTGGAGGGAAGGAGGAAGTCCATGAGGTATCATCTCACTCCAGTCAAAAGAGCTACTATCAAGAAATCAGGCCAGGTGAGGTGACTTGCACCTGTAATCCCAGCACTTTGGGAGGACGAAGTGGGCAGATCACTTGAGGTCAGGAGTTCGAGACCAGCCTGGCCAACATGGTGAAACCCATCTGTACCAAAAATGTAAAAAAAAAAAAAAAAAGCCAGGTGTGGTGGCATGTGCCTGTAATCCTAGCTACTCGGGTGGCTGAGGCAGGAGAATCACTTGAACCCAGGAGGCGGAGGTTGCAGTGAGCCAAGATTGTGCCACTGCACTCCAGCCTTGGTGACAGAGTGAGACTCCGTCTCAAAAAATAGAAATCAAAAGAGAACAAGTGTTGGCAAGGATATGGATAAAAGGGAACCCTTACACACTGCTGGTGGGAATGTGAGTTATTACACCCATTATGGAAAACAGTAAGGAGGTTCCCAAAAATAAAAAAAATAGAACTATCATTCGATCCAGCAATCTAACTACTATGTACCTACCCAAAGGAAAAAAAATCCGTGTGTCAAAGAGCCTTCACACCCCCTTGTTTTTTGCAGTACTATTCACAACAGCCAAAGTGCGGAATGGATTTCAGCGTCTATCAGTGGATGCATGGATAAATAACATGTGGTACGTATACACCATGGAATGTGATTATTTGGCTATAAGAAGAATGAAATCCTATTGTTTGCAGCCATAGTTTCTGGGGTGAAACTAGAGAACCTTAAGTGAAATAAGCGAGGAACAGAAAGACCAATATTGCATGCTTTTGCTCATATGTGGAGTCTAAAAAGTTGATCTCGTACAAGTAGAAAGTAGAATAATGGTTTCAGGGGATGAGGAGGATTGAGGAGAGGAGAGAATAGGGAGAAATTGGTCAAAGGGGACAAAGTTCCCATTAGATCGAAAGAGGAGGAACAAGTCCTGGTGTTCTAGTGCACAGCAGGGTGACTGGTTAACAATAGCGTATTTTATATTTCAAAATAACTGGAAAAGAGGTTTTTGAATGTTGTCATCACAAAGAAATGATAAAGGTTTAAGAAGATAGGCTGATTTGATCCTTAAACAGCTTACACATGTGTCAGGACATTAACTTGTAACCCATAAATGTGTATGATTATTATGTAACCCATTATAAATAAATAAAAAGTAAAATACAATTTAAAAATTTTTTAAAATCCAGAAAAATCAACTGTTTTTACAAAACATAAAAAGAATGGAAGGCAAAGGCTGAGGGTATTTATGGGAGACATGTGAATACAGCGGGGAAGATTTTAGAAGCTGTTTTCCCGTGGACACCTTGAGTTGAGTCCACACCCTGATGGGAATGAGACATCCCAGGCCTCGGAGGTGCTGGACACGATCCGTGCAGGTTGTGAGAAACCCCCCACCCCCAACACACACACACAGCTCCTGCTGCTGTCTCCTGTAGCCTTCTCTCCCCGAATCGGTTCTGTGGAGGAAGCCACGTGTGGCCGGCTGTGCCTGTAAGCTGTTTGGACAACAATTTCTGGGCTGTTCCATCCCTGGTCACTGCTTGACCTAACAGCCGACTCAATCCTTTTGGTTAAACAGCAAGTTAAGCCTCTTTGTTTGGGCCAGAGCCATGCGTGCTCGGACGTCTGCTGGGAGATCTCTGAAACAGCACAGCTCTTGCCTGTAGCTGTACAATCTCCTCTCTTCCCCGTTCCTTTCAGGATTATGTGTGTACTAGCAGCGTTTTCACAGTGAAAACTGCACAGACCCTCTCCCAGGGCTCCCCGCGAGCCCACTGATCCACACCGGAGCCCAGGGCCAGCCATTTCTGTATGGCTTTTGACTGGCTGCAGGCTCTGCAGACCCATGCTTGTTGGTGTGAGTGCTGCTGAGTCCGGCCCAGATCCTACAGAAATGACTGTGAGAATGATGAATAACGTGGCATGTTCAGACAGAATCAATCCACAGGACGTTAAAAACACCCTGTCTGCCATTTGGACAGGAAAGTTCCAGGCTTCAGCTCCCAGAAACCACCTTCCTTCATGTGGAGGGACGCAGCCTCATAAGGTCAGAATGAGGGCCTGGAAAGTCAGGGTGTCCGGCCAGGCCTCTGGGGGTCTGAGGTTATTTTGGGGGGTGACAAATGAGGACACACATAGAGCATGTAATGTCTCTGGGAATTTAAAATATATAGATGTGTTTTCTTTCCGCTTTTGCACAGAAGACCAGATTTCATTAATGTTTTGTGTCATGTTATTTCACATTTTTGGGTACTGTTATTTCATTAATGTTTTGGGTCCTGTTATTTCATGTGTAAAATCTGCATAAATGGCAAAAATGTATTCCCTTTTCTTTTGATATCATACTGATATTACTCTGGATGAAACACCTATATTCTTTGAATACACAGAGTTCACAAAGAAAGATACATTTTACACAAATCCCTTTATTTTTAGAATTGCACGTAACTGTTCCATCCTTTCCAGTGCTTGACAAATATTAGAACTGTGGACAGATACAGTCCGAGGCCTGTTTCCCTTTGAATGATGACATTCCCTTGTCATTTTGATTTTGGAAATAATTGCATCTTTTGGATGGATGAATTAACTTTACCAGAGAGGTAAGTATTCAAATATCATGCAAAATTAAATAAAAGAAGAAGTGCTGTTCAAAATAGAAACACACATACCCAATGAACTGATCAGAAAATACTTACAGGAGGAGAAGCTTGGATAGTAGCTGGCTGAAAGCCATTTTATTTTCCCAAACCACGCCTTTACTCTCTTAACTTAAAGAATGTGCCTTTTAGAAACTTTGTGGTTTTTTTGTTTGTTTTTTTATTTTATTTGAGACAGTGTCCTTCTCTGTCACCCAGGGCTGGAGTGCTGTGGTGCCATCATGGTTCACTGCAGCCTTGACCTCCAGGGCTCAAATGATCCTCCCATCTCGGCCTCCCAAAGTGCTGGGATTACAGATGTGAGCCACTGCACCTGGCAAGAAACTTTTCCATTAAAACACAATGCTCCGAAAGGTTTGTTGCAGGTAACGCGTTCCTTGTATTCAGCAAGGGCGGTATATCTGCAGTGTCTTCTTCCTGGGCCTACACTCTGTGAAGGTCAATCTCATACTCAACCCAGTGTGCTGAGAAACAGGAGAGTGACTGATACAAACAACTTATTTGAGCATATTTACCTGAAACAGTATTTAAAAAACTGAGCATATCTTATGACAAGAATCTCATGCTTTAAAACTCTAAACTATATCCCTATGCAAATTACTGACAATATACGTTTTAACATCAGCATTGTACTTTTAACCTTAGGTCTAGGGTTACCAAGTGCTGTGGCACTGCTTTGATACCTTATAGTTTCCAGTTCTAGTTTACAAACATAACATGCCTTTATAGTTCTCAGCGCTCCTTAAATATGTGGATTGGAATTCTAATTCCTTTAAATTTCATGTTGAGTTCTCAGTTTCTCTGCAGCTACTATAGCTGCTCTGAGTTGATGTAATTCAAAGTCTCTTTAAAAGAAGCTAGGGCATTTCTCTGTTATGCAATTCCTTCTGTTGCATTGGAGAAACACCGAGTAATGCAGCCACGTTGGGAAATGCTGTCATTCCCAAATCTAAGTATCCTTTAATGGGACCTACTGAAAAAAGAAGAAGAAGAAGAAGAAATGCCAGTACCTTTCTTCCACTGAATTGCTTTGGACACATGCTGCTGCTGTTGTTGAACTCACTGCTTTTGTATACGAATAATAAGTTTCCAAGCTGTGGGGAGGAAGACCCCCCTGATGACTTACAACCCCTCTCAGATCCCATGACCCTACTGCCTCCACCATCAGATCCCACAGCAGCGGACTTCGGGGATGCCGTGAGATCCAGGGGTGCCTGGGAACGGTTTGCCTCTCCCTCTGTGCCCTGCCCAGCCCTGCGGCCCACGCGTGTGCGTGTAGCACAGTTTGTTCTTCTAAGGACACGTTCCAGAATTACTGGAGTCTCCTGAATGCTGAGATGAATAGACTGGGTGAGCTTTAGGTGCTGCACCTGTCCTTCAAAATGAAACTGAACGGAGGCCCGCAGAGTCTCCCCGGGAAATAGGGACTGAGGATGCGTTCCATCTGGGTTATGCTTTCATCCCTGCAGCCCCTGGTCTGCCCCCCTGTCCTCAGAAACAGCTCAGTCCTTTCGGTGAAATCGGTGAAATCGGTGGTTCTCATCTTCTGTTTCTTGAACACACGTCTTGTTCCCACCCATCGGTTATGGTTGGAGAAGCATTTCAAGAAAACACCTGTTAGGGCTTTTTGTGTGTGTTAAGCCGCTGTGCTGGTGTGCTTTAGAATCATCCGGAAGGTTTGTTAAAACCAGAGTGCTGGGTCTCTTCCCTGGAGTTTCTGAGTGTGCAGGTGTGGAATAGAGCTCAAGATCTGCGTTTCTAACATGTTCTGAGCTGCTGGTCCCAGTACTACGCTCAGCCAACCAGCCCTCCAGACTTATATGCAATGAGCCCTGTGGCTTTACACGGTATCTTGATGAAGAAAATGTTATGTAAATCATGCTCTAAAACAACGATTGGATTTCAGTGCAATTACAGAAAACCTTTTCATCAAGATGTCTATGAATGAAATACTGATTTTAACAGGCTGCCCATTTTCAACAGCATAAAATCACGCATTCAAAACCATGATGAGCCCCTTAAATTTTAGGATTGAGTTTCACTTCCTCACTGACATTTTGTGAAAAATAACACCCGCAAGAGGCCTAAACAGGGCGATCGGAACCAAGAAAACTTAAGGAAGTATTTGCACGTTTTGATGTGTTTATTTATTTGGGATGCGCGGAGGCTCTGAATGGAGAAAGTCGTCGATGCCTGCACTGGTCTTGGCCTGTTCTTTATGTTCCGCGCGGTGACAGCTTTAAGATGAAGGAGGAACATAAAGGGTTTCATCACAGGAAATAGAACTATTGCTTTATTCAAACATTTAAAAAATAAATACAATAAATCAGGGATTTTTCCCCTTTCCGAGTATTAAATACAGATGTACTGTATGCATATGAAATTTTTGATTAAAATGTCTTTCACCAGTCTGTCTCTTTAATTAAATAAAGCCTGTTTGGTATTAATCAAGGCACAAAGAATTTATACCCCAAATCCAGATTAATTAAAAGCCTGGGAGCTTGATGAACAGGCAGTATAAAGACAAAAATAAATCAATCCAAACATGATATTTATGAATATGGACGGTTTGTGAGCAAAATATAAATAATTTAGACAGAATAATATACATCAGTTATAGGATAGGATTATTTTACATTCTAGAATGAGTTCAAATGTAAATTTGAACCCACATTTTGGATTAAGGTTTCTGTTTCTAACATTTATTGTTCATTACTGAGTGATGATAGCTCTTAGTCGTTAATCTCTCACAAATCCTGAAGCTTTTAAGTACCTGCTCAACTGTGCCAGGAAAGGAGTCTAATGTGGCATTTTCTCTCTTTTGTGCAGAGTTTGGTTTAATTTTGCTTCAAATTACTAATATATCCCCCAATGGAGCAGTCTTAGTGCCTTAGCAAGGGTCATGAGGCCCAGTTATACAGAATTTAAAATAGATATGTTTGACTCGTTAGTGGTTTTCAAATATATTCAAATATATATACACATATATATTAGTCCTTAGCTACTTTTTAAAGGACAATGATATCAATATATTTGATCACCTTTAAAACTAAAATATACAATTTCTGCTAATGCACATATAGAAATGGCCTCATGCTGTACATCACCTGATTCTCACTAAAGCTCTGCAAATGAGCAAGGCCAAATTTTGAACTAGGATATTCTGACTATAAATCTAATATTTTCCCTATTAGAGCCATATGTCATATATCTAATCAGGGAAAAATAATCTTATTCAATTGCTGATCTCAATTAGAATGGAGGAAGACCCCTAACTATTTGAAATTCTGTTTCCCTTGGAAAACATTCTGGCTGAGAATAAACTCCCATTAAATTTACATCCTTCACCTCCTCTTTTCCATTCCCTTTTTCCCCTCTGTTTCTTGTCTTCCCCCCTTTTATCCTCACCACCCCCATCTTTCTGCTTATTTCTATTTTTCAGTCATATTTGCAGAGGAGACTAGTGATGCAACCTTGGTATATAAATGGAAATGAGACTTAATAAGGTGGTGATTCTAATCAGCTGGGGACAAGATGGGTTATTCAGAAAAGATTGTGGGTCTCCATTTAGGCAAGAATGGGAGACCTTGCTAAATACAATGTTCAAAATAAATTTCAGGTTCATTAGTTAATACCATAAACACTGTAGAGGAAAATATTAAAGAATATTCTACAACACTGTGCCTTGGAAGGCCTTATTAAGTCAGGTACCCTAGAACAGATGACTCACAGATTTGATCTTGGCCAATAATCACAAACCAATTGCACCCACAAGCACACCTTAACACATGCATATAGCCAACTTTGTGTCAAAAAATACACAGCAACAGGTAGTGCTTGGAAGAGACCCTGACACATGCGGTGTTAGTTATTTTATTGTCATCATGGTCATCATCATTTTTATTACTATAAAAAGGTAGGTGAATTACTTTAAGAGATTTAATGGTATTAGTCTGTTCTCACACCACTAATAAAGAAATACCAGAGACTGGGTAATTTATAAAGGAAAGAGGTTTAATTGACTGACAGTTCCACAGGGCTGGGGCGGCCTCACAATCATGGTGGAAGAGCAAGGGACGTCTTACATGGTTGCAGGCAAGAGAGCCTGTGCAGGGGAACTTCCCTTTATAAAACCATCAGATCTCATGAGACTTATTCATGATCATGAGAACGGCACAGGAAAGACCCACCCCCATGATTCAATTACCTCCCACCGGGTCCCCCCCATGACATGTGGGAATTGTGGGAGCTACAATTCAAGATGAGATTTGGGTGGGGACACAGCCAAACCATATCAAATAATAACATCAAAATCAACTTAATATTTGTAGTACTTTTCACCATTTGTTACTGATGTCCTTACTGATCTCAGTTTTAAAGAGTTCTAAATGATTTAGTCAAACGGTATTACTGTGAAATGTATGGAACTAAACACTTTTCTGTTTAGCTACAGTACAATTTAGCAATATTTGAGATTTTTGAAAAATTATATATCAATAATTATTGTTATGGTATACTAATTACCAATTACTCATAGTTTATAAAAATAATGGATTTGACAACGTGATAATCCTCTCTGTTGAAATGGTTGAAATGATAATAATTGCATGTCCAGATTTAAGCAAAAAGCGTAATCAATGTTGCTAAAAGTTTCTCAAATTCGCATGGCAAAGCCCTCATCAGAATGTTGAAATTGCTTTTCTCCAAAAAATAGCCGAAAACCCTGGAGAAGCCACAGTTTCAATTTAACCCTTGATCAATGACATGCACTAAAACTAATTGGCATGAGATTTACAGCATTTAAAAAGTGAAAAATGTATCATAGCAGGAAAAAAGATTCTGCCCCTTTTTTGTTTGTTAATATGTACAAAACAAGATCCATTGATTGATAGCAATGAGTTTGTAGAAGCATTTGGGGGTTGTATTGGTTTTTATTCCTAATTTTGCTGAATGGCTGTTTTCAGGTTTTCCTTTAGCTTTTAGGGATGTAGTGTTAGAAAGGGGATTTTTGGGGATCATATTGTTTATCTTCTAGTGGGAAAGACTCATCATCAACCAGCTGTAAACAAAAGAAACATTTATCTGGCTTCAGAAAGTGATGAGGATGAGGGAGGAAATTAAACAGAGCAAGAGAAATAGTGATGGTGAGGAGGGAGAAGTTTGCTCTTAAATGAGGCAACCAGGGAAGGCTTCCCAGAAGAGGCAGTTCCTCAAACATAAGCCATCAGGAAGAAAAGCAATATTTTCAGCTTCTCTAAGTCCTTGCATTGTTAACATTTCTGGTTTTTTTCCCCCATGAGCATTTTGGTCAATAACTCTTCACTTCTAAATACTGTTGTTTTGTGTTTTCACTTTTCCTGTAAAATAGACATTTAAAGAATTAACTAATTATAATAGGCTATCTATATAATCACTATGATCTGGTATCATCATTCTGATGGTTTAAAGACTTTTGGAGCAAGACTTTGTGTCTTGTTCTACACCGAATAAAAACTATGCAGTTGCAGGTGCACCCACACAATGCACACATAGTTTCTAATATTGGTGATCCTTCACTTCTGAAACCATATGGAATAAGAACAAAATTACTCCTCTCATAAAAAAGTGTCTAACATATTAAAAGTATTTTTTAAAAGATTTCCAATTTGTAAAGAATGGAAAGGTTTGTGGTTGACCCATGCGCTCTCATTCGATCCTCTGCCCTTTCCCCTCCATAGTTCTCACCTTCCACGTCTCCCGGGAACAGAGCCTGTAACGTTATTCAGCACACCTTCTGTTGAGCAGAGCACCTGACTTCAAGGAATGTACAACGGCTTGCCCTGGCGAAAACCCAATTGTGAGCTGCAAAGGAGGACTATTTGATAGCATTCCCTTCTGTCTGTCTTTGAAGGCTGTTCTCAGTTGAGAACATATTGAAACGTGAATGATAGATACGTTTGTGAGTATTTTTAACACAGCCTTAATACTCACATATGCCATTATTTCTGCAGATAATGTGCGCCATTCCTCACAGCTAGGAAGATCATGAGTGTCATTAACGCTGTTTTTACACACTAAATTGGTCTGTTCCCGGACCCCTATCAAAGATGGGATGCTAAAAATTGTTTATCTCTAGAGACTGGATCAGGAATACAAAAAGGTTCCTGAAATAGGAAAAGCCTTGATTTGCACAGATCAATTTGCTTTATAAATGTTCCTTCTCTCACTCCAGAAGAAAGTAGACGCTTGCACGTTGAACATAAAATCATCTTGGCTCCAACACGATGGAGCAAAAAAGGTTCTGAACTTGCAACGCACATATTTGCAGGTTATAGTAAATCCAGGTTTCCCACCTCAATGACATTTGTTTAGACATCTGCATGTACCAGCTGGTAATGGTTAGTTTACTTCCTATCAATTCTGATTTTGAATTAGGCTTGTTAATAAGGATGGATGGAAAGCAGGTGTGGTAGTCTCTGAGCGGTTATTGGCATGTAATTGCTTCAGGCTATTGTTTTAAGCAGTTTCCATTTGTACATTGTTCCAAAGACAGCTGCCAGTAGCAGCTCAGCGAGGATTGCACAACTATTCCATGTAGGATCCAGTGACAGATCTAAACTAGTCATGAAAATCCTCCAGATCTGGCTTTTAAAACAGAAATGTTAATAGTAAACACAGACATGATAACAGCTGAACTGATGAAAAGGAAAAAAAAAATTGTCTTTTCAGGCATTTGAAGGACGTAGCTCTACATTTGTAGGCCAACTGCTTAGATTAAAAGTCTCAAAGTTTCACTATCTTTTGCAGCAAAATCAAAAGTAAAATGCAGCTGGGCACAGTGGCTGACTCCTGTAATCCCAGCACTTTGGGAGGCCGGGGTGGGTGTATCACTTGAGGTCAGGGGGTCTAGACCAGCCTGGCCAACATAGTGAAACCCTGTCTCTACTAAAAATATTAAAATTAGCCGAGCGTGGTGGCGCATACCTGTAATCCCAGCTCCTCGGGAGGCTGAGGCAGGAAAATCGCTTGAACCCGGGAGGTGGAGGTTGCAGTGAGCCGAGATCATGTCACTGCACTCCAACTTGGGCAACAGAGCAAGACTCTGTCTCAAAAAAAAAAAAAAAAAAAAAAAAAAAAAAAAAAAAAAAAAAAAAAAGAGAGAGAGAGTAAAGCGTAACCAAGATTAAAACGTATCTTAGAACATTGCTTCTGAAATGTTTTTTAAATTATTACAAATTTTAACTCGCTGATGAAACAGTGGTATACCAAGGTCGCCAAGGATCACAACAATCACGTGTTCTTCTAAGTCAACACAAATTAGTAAAATATGTGGAGATGCTGTTAAATGAAATTTTCAACACGAAATTTATGCCTGCTGTATATTATTTGGAAAAAAAAATGTAGCAGGATAATCAGTTTGGGGTTTGTGAACATGTTGAGTATCCAGATATTTTATCACCTGCTTGAAAATAGCACAATGGGCAATAATTGCATTTTAGGCGTTAAAAAGGAATAGGTTGAAGGCTTGGTGCTGTTGCCTTGATTTTCAAGGACAATTTTGAACATGGAGTTATAAGAGAAGGCTTTTCTGAAGTCCCTTTTTGGCTGCAAGGAACCCAGAAGTCAGAGTTAGCTTGCTTTATTCTAGCACCCCTGGCCACAAATGTGTCTCTCTGTTTCCGCCAAGTTAATGTCTTTATTATGGGATTCCAAAACACATCCTAGTGCCTTCAAGGTTATGCTGGTTGAGTTTGAGTGTGAGTTTTAGAAATGAAGGTGTGGAATGAAGGTGTGAGTTTTAGAAATGAAGTTCCTTGGCCAGCAGATCCTATATTTGTCAAGGGCTGTAATAATTGCTTTAAAAACACTGGGAAATGCCAGACTTGCAAGGATGAAGGTGGTCGCAGCTTGGCCAGTCAGAGAGCTGCAGATATGGCACAGATTGGCATCTGTATATACTTCACATCCAAGAGTGCAGTTGACCAGGGTGCTCTGACGCTGGGTGCAGACCACCGACTATCCAAGTATTTGCACCTGTTCTCTGCAACAGGCTACTATATGGGGCGATTTCCAATGCTTAAAAATCACTTCTAGTGTGGTATATTTGCTTCCAATATTATCAAAATATTCAAAGAGTATCTTAAGAAGTACTGTCTGCAGCACTGAGATGTTTGAATTTTTTGATGTTAAATTATTCTGTCACATATATTAACTTATAATTAAAACTATAGGGAAAACATTTTTTAGCAAAAAATATCAAAGCAAAAGTAAATATTCTTTCTTTTTATGAAAGAAACTATATACCAGATTACCATTGGAACTTGCAGGCTATTTCAAACATTCTTGGATGGAATCCTTGAATGCTTATGAGAACCACTGAGGTATGGTGTAGAGAACAGAGGCTGTGCAGGTGCATAGACCTCGATTGGATTTTAGGTGTCATATTCTACATGTTGGACTTTAAATAACTCAATTTGCTTCCCTAAGCCACTATTCCATACTTGTAAAGGTAACATGCATATCAATTTTTGTGAGATGATTTATGAGTTTATTAAAACATGCTGGAAACTTACCTTATATTAGATATTTTGCTAAGCACTTCACGTTTCTCCATGCAATTCATACAAAATCTATGATTCCCATACTATGCTTCCTTTTCATTTAGCAGGTAAGGATCTAGAAAGTGAGGCTTCAAGACATTAGGTGTTTTGCCTAGTCCTGAAGCCAGTCTGCAGATGCCTGTACCGGGTCACCTCACCTGATTGTTAAGACAAGCTGGTAAGCAAAGCACATGCTACCTAATGCCACATGCCACACAGTGTCTGTTCCGTGAAACCTACATATTTACCTTTCAGAAATGGCTATTTCTAATGTATTAGATTGGTACAAAAGTCATTGCAGTTTTTGTCATTAAAAGTAATGGCCGGCTGGGTGTGGTGGCTCACGCCTGTCATCCCAGCACTTTGGGAGGCTGAGGCGGGAGGATCACGAGGTCAGGAGATCGAGACCATCCTGGCTAACACAGTGAAACCCCATCTCTATTAAAAATACAAAAAAAAAAAATAAAAAAATTAGCCAGGCGTGGTGGCAGGTGCCTGTAGTCCCAGCTACTTGGGAGGCTGAGGCAGGAGAATGGTGTGAACCAAGGAGGCAGAGCTTGCAGTGAGCTGAGATCGTGCCACTGCACTCCAGCCTGGGTGACAGAGTGAGACTCTGTGTCAAAAAAGGAAAAAAAAAAAAAAAAAGCCAAAACCGCAATGACTTTTGCACCAATCTATTTCTGCAGACCATTAGTGGCTAGTGAACTAGATTAAGGTGTTTACCAATAAACAAAATAAATAGTATTACCTTCAAACCAGTGTGTAAAAGTTTTGTATGCTTTCTCCATCTTCATCCACGTTTTTCTTATTTGGTACCTTCTAAAAATGCTGCAGGGAGCTAACAGATGATGGAATAAACAAAACACTAATAAACTTGAAGTAACACAATCTTAGGAACAGAGTAAGACATTTCAGTGAATGCTTGAACCTGTGGCTATAATTTGATATTATGTGAACATTATTTCCTCGTATTCTTCAGTATTAAATTGTTGTTAGTTCATGAGGTGACATGAACCCTGTGGAACCCTCAGTATTGGGCAAAATGGCAGGAGTGCCAGTGAATTTGAGTGACAGCTTTCTGACGAGACCACTGAGTCACTGATGTCTGCCTTTCTGATGAGATAAGTTGGGTCAAAGCTGTCCTTACTCAGAACACACTGGTGGTTTTCCTGTTTCTTAGTTTTAAAACTTCAATTTGTGCTACTGAAGAATATGTCAGAATATTTATTCTGCAAAAAGGACATTAAAATTGAATTCACGTTGGGTTTTGGTTAATACAATTTCATCAAAACTCCGCTTTTAGACTGTGGTGAAGTTGGTCTTGGAACTGGATGGGCAGAGACTACAGATGCCATAAAGCAGGGTCCTCGTGGAACCTGCAAATAGCTGCCTCAACCACGCCCTAGCTGTCGGTCGGTCAGCAACGACCCCAGACCTTCTGCTCCGACAGGGGCTCCTCGGGTGCTAGAATTCGGTGAAAGAATTGAGCATGGTACGGATTACAGAGGGCTTGCCAGAGGTCAGCAAGTTCCAAACCTGTCTTTTTAAGGCAGTCCTGAGGCTTTAATGCGATGCTGTATAGAAAACAACTTATGAGTCAGATCTCCACTTCTTCAAAAGATAGTCTTTAAATAGAATTCCCAAATAATTATCTTAGCGACTTGTTTTCTGTCGTTTTGTTGCTATTCAAAGAAAATAATACAGAAACACATTTTCATACTGAAATGAAAGTTTATGATGCATCACATATATTACAAATTACAAAAAAGTTGAAGAAATTAATGATATGTCTTATTTCATAAACTGCCTTTATTCTATGAGTGAAAATGCAATTTCAGGAGAAGTAAGAGTCAGCACGAGCCTTCCTAGTTCTTCGAATGAATCATGTGTAAATATTAATTTTCTAGACTAATGGGCTCAGTTTTCTTCATTCCCCTGGGCTAGTTGACTTCTGAATTGGATCTCTTAAATTTACCATGTCCAAAACTAAAGTATTGATCCCAGGCACCAACTTTCTTCTCCCTAGCTCTCCTGTGTCTTAGGAAATGGCAAAAACGTTGTTGTTCAGAGAATGGCGGAGGTTCATGCCCTTTTTCTCACATACCCTGCTTCAAACATTGGCAAATTGGAGCGTGTCTTGGTCTGTTGAGATGCTAGAACCGAGTATCGCAGACGGGAAGCTACAACAGCAGAGGCCTGTTGTTCACAGCTCTGGAGGCTGGAGGTCCAAGATCAAGATGCAGGCGGATTCAGGGTCCGTGCAGGGCTGGCTTCTTGGTTCATGGATGGCACCTTCTCCCTGTGTCCCTCACATGGCAGAATAGGGGAGAGAACTCTCTGGGGCATCTTTTCATGGAGGCACCAATCCCTTGAGTTTTCTGCAATCACAACCTCATCTAATCCTCGTTACCCCACAAAGTCTCCATCTCCAAAATGCCATCGTATCGGGGATTAGGATTCAACACACAGACTTGGCAGGAAGAAAAGCCTCCGGTCCACCGAGTGCATAGCAGAGCGACTCTGTGGTAAGAAGCCATCCAGATCCCTAACCATTCTCATGACTGCTCCAGGACCACCCAATTCAAACCAGCACCCAGCCTCTCTGACTGCCACACTGTCCTAACCTCTAACCTTATTCCCCAGTCAGTTCTCTCTAGGGTGCTTTTAAAGGCAAGTCAGACTATGTCATTCCTCAGCTCCTAATCTGGAGGTTCCCATCACACGCAGAATAAAAATGAAATACTACAGCCTAAGCGGCAGTGATTCATGAATCTCACCCCAGCCACAATTTAGAATCAGTCTAGGGAAGCCTGTGAAAAATATAGATGCTAATTACCAAGCACGAATGAATTCAATCAGAACCCCGAGTCATGGCACCTGGACACTGATATTTTTAAAAGCTCCTCGGGAGATGCAAATACAGAGCGAAAGATGGAGTCCTCTGCCCTGGGTGATTCACACAAGGTTCCGGCAGTCCCTGCCCTCTGCTTTTCTTCCCACTTCTCCTTCCTTCCTTCCTTCCCTCCTTCCTTCCTTCCTTCCCTCCTTCCTTCCCTCCCTCCCTTCGCTTCCTCCTTCCTTCAATCCTCCTTTCCTCTCTTCTTCTCTCCTTCCTTCCTTTCTCCATCCCTCCCTCCCTCCCTTCCTCCTTTCCTTCCTCTTTTCCTCCCTCTCTTCCTCCCCTTCCCTCCCTCCCTTCCTTCTTTCCTTCCTTCCTCCCTCCTTCCCTTTCCTTCCTTCCTTCCTTCCCTCCCTCACCTTCCTCCTTCCTTCAATCCTCCCTTCCTTCCTTTCCTTCCTTCCTTCCTTTCCTTCCTTCCTTCCTTTCCTTCCTCCCTCCCCTCCCCTCCCTTTCCCCTTCCTTCCTTCCTTCCTTCCTTCCTTCCTTCCTTCCTTCCTTCACCTTAACACAAAGCAAAACATGCTTACTCTCTATGTCTTTCCTCTGCCTGGGATACTCTTGCCCCACAAGTCTTCATATTTTGCTCACAATCTCTATTTTTACCAAGATTTTATCAGTGAGTGTTCCTTATCCATCACACACACAAAAATTGAATTTTTTGCACCGATTGTCTATCTCCTTGCCATAGTATATCTTTCTTTTAAGAAATCATTACCGTTAGAAACTCTATAAATATTCCTCTATGTGATTGATTTCTGTCACTGTCTGCTGGAATGTAAACTCCAGTAGAAGCAGGAACCTTGTCAATGCTGTTCACTGTTCTATGCTGAGAGCTTAGAAAAAGGCCTGGCATGTTATAAGAGCTCATGATAATTTATTTAATGAATGGACTAATTCCAGGAGCCTCAGAGCAGAGCACAGAGCAATTCCTGGGCTCCAAAAGCTTTTGTGCAAATTAGGAAATGGGGCCATTTTGGGGATGAAAGTCCCAGAGCTTGACACACTGGTTGTGTGCTCAATTTGTTTTCCTCTCATATAATTTGTTATTAACTTTTATTTATATTTTTAGGGTTTCAAACATAGACAGAAAGTCTGAGAATACCAAAAGGAACTAGAGCATGTATTTTACCCAAATCCATCAATTTTTATCTTTTTCCTCACTTGTTCTCTCTCCATCTCTGCTCTATCTATCTATCTCTGTCTCTCCCCTCTCATCATACACACACACACGTGACTGATATATTTGATTTTATATATATATATATATATATGATTTTTTGTCTGAGTTATTTGATATGAAGTTGGAGGCATGCTTCCTCTTTATTCCATTAATAAAATAAAAGATACTCTCTTTTATTACCCAAAGCATCATCAAAATAAAGCATGTTCACTTCGATTGAATATTATTATGTAAATCACAGCTCCTTATCACGCCCCACTCATGGTCCCAGTACCACACTTTATGGAAAGTTTTCCTGGTTTGTGGTGCTCTCTGGCTCAGGCTGGTGTGGCCCTGCTTCCTCTCCTCCTTTCTCTTTTTGGGCTGTGACCCGTTTGGAGTGCATGTGTGACTTTATAAGACATTCCTCCATTTGGGTTTGCCTGGTGTTGCTTTACAATCGGATATTTTTGGCAGAAAGTCTGCTGTCGTGGGGTGAACCCCTTAGTCTCCTGCTCAGGGGGTGTTCATGGCTGGAGGCCCCCACCCTGGTGATGTGGACTTCAGATATCTGATCGTGCCATTGTCTGCCAGGCTTCTCCACTGGAAACTCGCTCTTCTTGTATCTTGAAATCCATGCATAATCCATGGGAAGATACACTAAGACTGCAATAGCTATGGTCAAAGTGCACCTCTCAGCCTTTGGGCCTCCCTAAAGTAGACGAGGGTCGTCCACTTTCGCACCCACCTGGACTTGGCGTGTTGAGTACCCACCGTGATGTGGTGGAGATGCAACTGGCAGCAGAGGCCGAGAGCTTTGAGAAGGAGTTTAGAATTGAAAACTAATCAATGCAGAAGCTGGAGCAGCCCACTTAACTCTTCTGTGTCTCCTCGTTTATCATCTGTCAAAGAGTTCATGGGCAATAATCTAAGGTGTTCATTTGAAAATAAAATCGATGATGTTCAAAAACAATGCAACCAAAAATAACACTCTGAAAGTGTTCCTACTATGAAACACCTCAAAGTGTCAGATAAAAGATTTTTTAAAGTCTGTCAAGTACAATCCTCAACTTGGACTGAACAGGGAAGTTCCCAAGGGCAAGAATCTCACAGGAAGCAAAGACAGAACACAATTTTTGGCACTTTGCCACCTTGGGGCATTGGCTGCTCTTGGTGTCTTAGAGGTCTGGCTTTCAACCTACAGAAAGAGCACACAGGAAAAGACACAGAGATGGTACAAGTGTGGAATGAAAGTGAGACCCAAAATACAGCCAAGGTCACAGTGAAAACCTCCTCGAGAAAGGGCCGGTGGGCCTGTTCCGCCCAGACAGAACAGAAACATCTCTGGGTTCTGCATGTAAGAATGTTTTTTTTCTCAACTTCAAATAAACAAACAAAAGACCCCCAAAAACTGTCTCAAGGGTTTCAAAGTCAAATTTTACTGATGTTTTTGGTTCAGAAAAGCTCAAGTAGAGACATGAGGTTGACTCTGGGTCTACGATGCCCCTAGGCTCACATCATGGAAGTCAATTCATATTCTCCCCAGGACGATGGATCTCTCCAGGCCACTTAAGCTTCTGACTCCAGGGAGCCAGCCACCAAGATTAAAAAAAGAAATCAAGATCAGCAGAAACAAGTGCAGCCCTGTAGTTCAGATAAATGAATTATCAGAAAATATTATAAAACGCATTTAAAACAGAAAATAACATGCAAGAGGAACTAAAATTATTGGGGGAAAACAAGCAAGACTGTATTAAAGTAAATGGCTGGACTAAGAAAAACATAACCAAATATGACTGTTAAGCACAAAACTAAGATGTCTTTGATAGAAAAAATAGAAGAGATCTGGCTATCCCTCTACGTGGCAGACTAGAAATCCTGAAGGTCCTGGCTGCAGGAGATCTAAATTAATTCAAATAATGTGAAAGCCATCTCTTAGACACAGAGGCCTCTGACAAACTGAGCAGAATTTTTTAGATCCAGCAATAAGGCATAGCCTCAGATCCCACGAGGAAGGCACATTGATGCTGTCTACACTCTGCAATGTCAGCTTCAGAGCCAAGACAAAGGTGCACTGATGCTGTCTACACTCTGGAGTGTCAGCCTCAGAACCCAAGAGTAAGATGCATTGATGCTGTCTACACTCTCGAGTGTCCGAGCAGCTGGATAGCCAGAGCTCCAAAGGCTGCTTTTCGTGTGATGCCCGTCCCAGTCATGGAGCAGATTCCAGGGGGCAGATTCCGGCCACAGTAACGGGAATGCTCTCAGGAGCTCTTTTCTAAAAGCGAGTCATCTGTCTATATCTATTCCTGGAATTCTGTTTGTCGGTGAAAGCCTTGGAGGTCGAGTCTTTGCTACTCGCATGCTTAGAGACGCAATGTTTCCACCTCACCTTTTCCTTCTGAAGTGGCTTCATGCACACACGCTGGGTCTCCCAGTCATTGGAGCTGTCTACGGAAGGTGTTGCCTGTAAATGCTGCTATGGGGTTTTCTCCACTTGGGCCTGATTTATAACTTGGCCTCCTCATTACGTAATATAATGTACTTTTAAATATCCTACAGTTACATATGTAGGTGGAGGTCTGTTCTCTTGCTATAAAGGAAAACTTTGCTCAGACGTTATAAGGGGAGCCCAGCATGGTGGATCGTGCCTGTAATCCCAGCACTTTAGAAGGCTGAAGCAGGGGAATTGCTTGAGGCCAGGAGTTCAAGACTAGCATGGGCAACAAAGTGAGATGCCATCTCTATACAAAAATAATAACAAAAGAATTAGCTGGGGGTAGTGGCACACACCTGTAGTCCTAGCTACCTGGGAAGCTAATGCAGAAGGATGCCTTAAGCCCAGGAGGCTGAAGCTGCAGTGAGCCATGATTATGCCACTGCACTCTAGCCTGTGAGACAGAGTGAGACTCTGTCTCAAAAAAAAAAAAAAAAAAGCTATAAAAATTAAATTAGAATGCACTCCTAAATCCCAGTAATTATGCCTATCATACGTCATATTTTTGAGTAGTGTTAAATAAAGGGAGGTCTCCTGATACTAGTTCTACATAAAAACAAAGCAAAATGATGAAAAGTAAATGTCGTGTCACAGCTTCCTAGGTTCTAGGGATATGAAACTTCCTGCTGCCCTACGATGACGTCTCCGCTTACATACAAGTGCTCCTTGTCTGGAATGAGCCACTTAGAGCTTGTTCTCAGAGACGTTGTAGGAGACCAGTTCTTTGTCATTTGACCCTTTTGGGCCTTTGAGTCAATTCCAAGGATTCGTTGCATTTATTTGATTCCCTTTAGCAAAAACATCAGACTAAAATAAAAGCATTTTATCAAATCAAACTTTCTGAATCACAGTGAAAGAGATTTTCAAATCACTAAATTTGGCTAAGGGCCCCCCCCCTCCAAAAAGAATTAACTTACAACAATCATTAATATGGCATAGAAAATAGAGTTTTAGAATTGTAGGCTGTGATATTCTTCTTCATATTACTGTGATAATGGATTTGTGATGCTATGCCCTTCTCAGAGCCTGGAGAAACTTATGGCACAAAGAATGAAACTTATTGAGTAAAAATTAAAAGCAAATAATGTATGAGGTTGAGAAAACCCTTGAAAGAATGTAGATGGGGACAAAACCTTCTACAACTGTACATTACAAACAACCTCACTGGAAGGGGACAGAGGTGCTGACCTAAAGACATTGAAAATGAGTAGATTCTGAAGACTGAAGGCAAAGGGAACTGCACACAAGCACTGTGCTCTGATTGATAAAGAGGTTTCCCACAGGGGTGCCAGCCAACACACTAAAACCACATTGCGTGTGCATGGGAGGGAAGTAATTAATGAATGGATGGTGGGTGATGGGCATGGGAGGGAGGTAATTAATGAATGGATGGCGGGTGATGAGAGCAGGTTTCCAGCTGAAGAGTGGGAGCTCACAGACAAAGGCACGAGCATAGTGCATGGGGCAATGGAATGGAGTGGGGACAGCAGGAGTCTCATATTTTCTTTGATACATGTAAAATATTTGGAGGTATTTATAGGTACATGGATTAGAACACACACATACATTTACTTGTTCTGCAGGATGAGAATGCTCCAGTAACAAGGAGCACAACTGGAACGCTGATCATGAATTTTTTTTAACACATTTCTCTTTTTTTATTTTTTCAAGACTCTGTTGCTTAGGATGGAGTGCAGGGGTGCAATCTTGGCTCACTGCAACCTCCGTCTTCCAAGTAGCTCAGCCCACAGATGTGCACCACCACACCAGGCTAATTTTGGTATTTTTAGTAGAGACAGGGTCTTGCCATGTTGGCCAGGCTGATCTTGAACTCCTGGCCTCAAGTGATCCACCTGCCTTGGCCTCCCAAAGTGCTGGGATTATAGGCATGAGCCACTGCGCCCAGCCATAATCATGGATTTGAATACTGTTCTCCAATAAAAGAAACCAGGATCCTTCGAGAAGTGGCTGACCCTAGGACTGGGGCAGGGAACAAACCACATGAGCCTGGCACAACTTGTAGTGCCAAAAAGTAGTGTGAAGCCCCCAAAACAAAACAAAACAAAAAAATTCCCAGACACAAAACAACAATGAGATTATATCAAAGGGACATAGGCCCCGGTCATAAAAGCTCTCAGTGGTCAAATCTGGAAAATTTGAACAACAAAATAAATAAAATAGTATTGGAATATAACCCAAAGTCTAACATCAGTATTCACAAGTCCACAGTGATATACATAAATGATTGACCATATAAATAAATAAACAAGATCAACTTATAGGTCTCTATTTATTGATTGAAAAATAAGTCTCCCATACAAAATAATTCTAAGTAGTTCCCAAAGATATTTCACCCTCAAGGAGGCAGAGGACAACTCTCCATTCCTGAAGTGTGAGATTCTCACATCAACTTTCTTTTAAAGAGCAAAAGGTGGACAAGGAGAAAGAGAAACAAAAAGAACCACTTTAAGTGGAGAAATGTGACAAACACAACCCGAGGCCAGGATCAAGATAAACCCCAACAACACTAAGTCGCCTTGGTGTGCCCTTGATGTGCCATGATGAGAACAGCGCTTTGCCTCTGTGGTCTTCCTCCCAAATGTCTTTAGCTCCTGCCTAATTATGAGAAAGACATCAGAAAAGCTCCATTTGAGTGACAATCCACCAAGCACCTGACCAGTCTCCCTTGAAACTGTCAACGTCATCGAAAGCAAGGAAAGTCTGAGAATCTGTGATAGCCAAGAACAGCCTCAGAAACATGACAGCTCAAAGTCACCCAGTGTCCTTCATGGGATCCCGAGACAGAGAGGTGACATGGGGGACAAAAATGAGGAAACAAGAATACAATATGAGCTTTAGTAAAGATGAACACATCCATATTGGTTCCCTTGTGCAAATATACCCTAAAAACACACTGTCAATAACACAAACTGGATACAGAGTGCATGGGAACCCTCTGGAGTATCTTAAACATTTTCTATGAATTGAAAACTATTCTAAAATTAAAGGTTACTGAAAAACATGGGTCATATAAATTCATAGTAGACAGAGAACTTTTTTTAAATAATTTCAACTTTTATTTTATATTCAGAGGGTACATGTGCAGGTTGTTACATGGGTATATTGTGTGATGCTGAGAGTTGGGGTGCAACCCCAGGTAGAGAGTATAGTGCCCAATAACTAGTTTTGTTTTTTTATATATATATACTTTAAGTTCTAGGGTACATGTGTACAACGTGCAGGTTTGTTACACGTGTATACATGTGCCATGTTGGTGTGGACAGAGCACATTTTTGTATAAACAAACCTGAGTCAGACCATGTCTTATGAATTAACCCATACTGCACATTAAAAACTTTACTGGGTATGCTGGGATCATTAATTCATGACAGGTCACCACAGAGAAGAAATTCCCTTGTCCTATACAGATGATCAGGTAGAAAAACACAAAAATGTCAGGGTGGCAGCAACATATTTGGTTTCCCTGATGGAGCTGTATCTGAACAGTCAATCCCAGGCAGCAATAACCAACACTCCAAGATATTTCTTATGCTGCACTTTGAGTCCCAGAGAAAGACTGAATGCCTTTGAGGGATGAAAACCTAACACACGGGCACACAGCAGAAGATGAAGGATGACAGCCCAACCTCGGAGCACGATGGGTCTTCAGAATGACTCCCTCCCGACGCCGGGTGAAGCAGAGTCAATTACTTTTATAATTGCTGCCCCACTAATGCCGATGTCCTAATGAGATCAAAACCATTACACTTTCCTTTCATCTGTTCCCGCATTCTCGGAAGTGGGGGGTAAGAGGTATTTGTTTGCCATAAGAAACTCTTAGCAAATTAAAAGGATCTTGATAATGAGATAAATAAAAGCTTCTCCTAAATGCAGGCGGCTGTGGTTTGCTTTTTTCCATTTACGTTCCATTGGAAGGGAGAGAAGCCTGGTTGTTCATATTTTGTCTACAAGGATTGAGGAACCCCTCTGCCATTTCAGGTCACTGTTTTTCTGGAAGTCTGATGGAAATAAAGGATTGAGTCTCTCAAATTCAAAGCAGTTTGACCTTCTCTTCTGTGGAATTGGTGTGCCACATTTAAAGACCAGGACCAGCCCAGTGGCAAATATGTGCATTTAGCAGGCTCCTCTGTTTTAGCTATGTGTTCTATGTGCAATGGAGTTTACAACGTGAAATGATGAGCTATGTAGATTTCAGCAAATTATGAGCAGGTAGTTTCTGGCTGGATGCCATCAAAGTTTTTTTTAAAAAGGGTATGATTCTTTTAACTAACATGTTGCATTTGGGGGAAGTTGATTTTATGCTTTAAAGCAGAATGAATTATTCTCACTTACAAATACCTTCAAAATCATCCAGGGGTATTTAAAGTATTGTTTCAGAGTTCATCTTGACTTGATCCACAACTGATTTTGAACGCTGCTTCAAAACTGAAATGCAGAAAGGAAGTAGGAAAGACTGCCTGTCATTTCAGATTATTTTCTGTAAAAATGCTAATTAAAGCAGTGGGTCAGATCTTGCAATGTCAAAGAGATGTGCCATTTCCTTTCCTTGGAAACAATAATGTACTCCTGGCTGCTACGTAAGTACAAATCTGACAACTGCCAGGAAAGGGCAGAAAAACCACATGCTTACAAGATCCCACTTGCTTGGTATTAGGATGAAAACCAGGGGAGAATACACCTGTTACTGATGAGAGTGGCTCCACTGCAGTGGCCTCGAATGCTGTTCAATGCTGAGTAGCTCAGGACCTGCCCAGGATTCACATAATCCCTGTGAACCTTATTCACTATTCGGTCGTAGGCGGGAGAAGTGTACATCCCGAAAGAACAACGTAATTTGCGTTCACATTTTTTCCTATGGTAAAACATAAATTTCCCACCAATCTCATATTGCATTTTTTGTTTCCATTTCCAATCATGTTTTCCCACAATTAGTAGATATTAATAGGATTGTGGTTGTATATTAATGATACCCTGTTTTTTTGAATGGTGATAATATTCACCATTCAAATTCACCATTGAATTGGTGATTTTTTTTCTCCTTGAATTGTTCTCTAATATATCCAAAAGGGCATTTTTCTCATTGATCTTTAAGATGTTTGCTTACATATTTTCAGAACTATAAGCATAGAACCATCATGAAACTTATAATATTTATGAGAAATCTGCCTTTCTTACTATTTTCTTTCTTACATCCTATGAATTTTTATGGTCTGATATTCCATTTGTTCAAACTGAATTTATTTTGATAACTACAAATTACTAAAACCTAATTTTCAGTAATAAGTTATTTCACAAATATGTATTAGTTACACATTAGGGATAGTTGTGCACTTGGAAGAAGACATGATTCGTCTGAATTGGCTTTAACGACTGAGCCGTCAATGGTCCATTTTCTATGAGAATAATCCTGTTGCTGGCTCATTTTGCGGGCATTGAGAGCTTGGGCTTTGTGATAGAATGAGCTAAAGGCAGGAATAACTTACAGCAGAATGTAACCGACCAGGGCACCAGACTGGGTGTGGGCTCTGCCAGCCTCCCTGGCAAGTGGGCTGGGTTTTGCGCTCCCTCGTGTCGTTGGTGGCCACAGTTTCAAATCTGCTTCCTGTTTTCTCCTTAGGTGATTTCTCTGTTTACTCGTGTTCCTCACACCTTAGAAGGAATTTGCTTGTTTTTGTTTTCTTCTCTTTCATTTACAAGTAGGAGTACTGATCTTACTCTCCTCTTACAGAGCTTGCATGATGATGCCGCACACTGAAATGCTGAAATTCAGGAATGTTTTTTAATATGATGTCAAATAAATAGATATGAAAATACAGGCGGGAGTGGGTATGAACATCTTCAAGTCATTTCTAGATGTTTACTTTGGTCTTGGCTTGTGAGTGTGCCCTTCTGCACATTTCAAAAGAGTCCAAAACTTTTGTAAGTTTTAGCGTAAATACCAGATCCCAATGATTTTGTGCATATCTGTAATACAATACTTCAAAATACATTATCATTAATTGTCTATAAATATATCTTTCTTACTATAGTGCCCTCCTTAAAGGTACTCCTACTTCGTATGTATGTATGTATGTATGTATGTATGTATGTATTCCATAGCCCAGCACCTTGCAACATAGCTGATAATCAACACATTAAATGTTGCTCAGTTGGGGATTGTCTTAGAAAGCACTCTGGAAGAGATAAAATACACTGCTTATTTCACATCATTAATAAATATGTTCACTCTGCTTAACACATTGTTTTGATTGTAGATATGGTTTTCCATGGATTCAACACTGTGGATATTAACTGGATTTCTAACATTTTCAAAAGACTTTTGATTATTAAAAATATTGTTTATGCAATTTGGTGAACTTTTCTCACGCCCACAGGCCATGACTAATTGTACATTTTAAAACAATGACCAAGAGAAGTGGAAGATGCCTGGGAGCAGAAGATGAGTACTTCGTGCACACGGTTCCTGCCACCAGCTCCCAAAGACTTGACCACAAATTTAATAGTGTTTTTTAATTTTTATCTCATACACGCAAACATGCACACAAGTGACAAGTCATGCAGAAAGTCAACCAACTCTAATTAACCATAATTTTATGATAAAGAAACGTAAAGTAAAATAAACATAATAGAAACGAATTAATCAAGAAAAAGGACATCCATAATATTCCAGCAAGACTTTCTGTAAAATCAACAGTATCTCAAAATACTATACAAAATGGTGAATGATTTCCAAACAATTAAATTTCTAAAATGATAATTAGTCTCCCCTTTAGTCTAAAAGATTTTCATTTATGTATAGATCATTCTTCTGTACAGTGCTGTTCTGACACTATGCCATTCCTGCACTCAACACCATCTTTGCAACAGGAATATCAGCCTTATTTTTAATGACGTCCTTACATATTTCCCATGCCCCAGTCATCCTGGGACATGGTCCATAGGTTCTCTATATCCATGTATTTATTCAGCTTTTTTTCTCTGCCTGAAAGTTTTAATCCTGACCACTTTCTCCCTTTCATTTTGTAAAAAGTAAAGTAGAGGTTCCTCTTCAAAGACTTTCCTCCCCATCTAATTAGGAATAAATAGTAACTTCTCTTAGAAGCAA
Organism: Homo sapiens; assembly: GCF_000001405.40. NCBI lineage: Eukaryota > Metazoa > Chordata > Mammalia > Primates > Hominidae > Homo > Homo sapiens. The sequence continues at coordinate 2,189,279 of NC_000010.11, forward strand.
AATTTATTCAAACACCTGTGCTGACATTCTTAAATATCTGCTAGCTGTAATAAAGAAATCAATGTACTTTATGTTCTTAGTTTCCAAAATGTAGCCCAAATATTTGCCCTGGCATGCTTATACTGGTCCAAGCAAGCATTAGGTCATAGCCTGTTCCTCTTCCTTATTTGAAGGTGTTTTTACCTTTCTCAGCATTCCACCAGTTACTTCCTCCTTCCTTTGTTCTCCTCTGCCTTTGCCTCCTTTAAAAGTTCTAAGCTGCTAGCCAATCGGGACAAATACAGAATGTGAGGTCCCATTCCAGCCAATGGAAACCCGACACAGCAGTAGGGTGGCTGCGTCAGGTTATAAATGACCCTGTCTCCTTTGTTTGGTGTACTCTCGTGGCAAAACTGCTGGTGAGTGTTCCCTTCCTGCAGAAAGTATAAAAATGGGCTTGCTGAGGAAGTTAAATTTATGTACAAGTGCTATTTCTTTACGGCACCGGGGAACAAGCATTTCAAACAATTTTCATCTATATTCTTCCAGAACAACATTTATCCATCAAGATTGCCTTAAATACCGCTGCAACATTTCCTTTTATAAAGCTATCTTGAAAAATTCTCTATATGATCTGTTCTTTCTTGGGTCACCTATCTTCATATGGTTTCTCATATGCTTCCCACATCCAGTATTTTCCTTGACCTTTTCTAATGAAGCATTAATGTTTGAATGAGTTATATATCCACATGTTCAAAATATAAAAGATACAAATAAATATGCACTGAAAATCCTCATGAGAACACATGCCCCCTGCCAGAAAGTCTCTTCTCCAGATAAAATTGATGTTTTTAATGACCTCATATTCTTCCACATGCTTTGTACTTTATGCACATCTAACAAAACATGAAAAGTTAGTATTTCTCTTGTGTCTTTACACAAATGGTAGCATATTATACTTTAACTTTGCTTTTGGTTCATTTAACAATGCACATCAGAAAATGTTCTATGTTGGCTAGGCACAGTGGCTCAGTCCTGTAATCTCATCATTTTGGGATGCCGAGGTGCGGGGGAGGGTCACCTGATGTCAGGCGGGGTAGAGGGCACCTGTAATCCCAGCTACTCAGGAGGCTGAGGCAGGAGAATCACTTGAACATGGGAGGTGGAGGTTGCAGTGAGCCGCGATCATGCCACTGCACTCCAGCCTGGGTGACAGAGTGAGACTCTATCTCAAAAAATAAAGAAAAAAAAAAGAAGAAGGAAGAAAAAGAAAAAAAAAGTTCTGTGTTGATAACTTTTTTCTTCATATTTTTGCCACTGAAGAATGTTGTAGCTGTCTGCCTGCCTACAACTATCTATCTATCTATCTATCATCTATCTACCTATCTCTATCAGTCATCTATCTATCCATCTATCTATGAATTCATCCATACTTCAATTTAACCATCCATCTATTCATCCATCCGTTTATCTCATCTCTCTTTCTATTACCTATTTATTTCTTTATTAGTCTCTTGATTGTCTGCATTTGTTTTATTTCCAATATTTTTCTAGCACAATGTTGCAATGAAAATTCTTCTATAAAAATATTTCCATGTAGATGATTGATATATGTGTAAATATATAAGACAAATGCTTAGAAGTCAAGTTGCTGGTTCAAATGGTATTTTCATTTTTCATTAATTTGTTTTTTATTAAATTTAAATAAAATGTGTATATGGTGAAAAATTCAAAAGAAATAAGATAAAATAGTGAAAATATAAATCTAATTTATAAAGTATTTCTTCAGCCATCTAATTTTGCTTTGTAATACAATTAATGCTAACAGATTATCCTATCCTGTCATAAATATTGTATGCATATATAAACGTATATATCTATAAGAGAGTTTATTTTATCTGAACATCCCTTTGTTTTCTTCTATATTCTACAGAGATCAGAATGTTTTTGCCACAAAGTTGATTCAGAAATAACCCCAAGTTTCATGGTAAGCACTGAAATTCATAGGCATCCAACAGAAGAATTCTGAGATTGAAATAATGGTCCTATTTGTTTTCATCATGACTCTCAGTTGTCTTGGGAGGAAGCACAGTTAGGATACAGGTTTCTGCACTGTTCGTGGCCAACAATTTCCATACTTATTCCAGTTTGGACTGGTCGCCCACTGCCTGCTGCCTATGGTAGCCATTTTCAAATCCCCTGCATCGCCATCTTGGGTTTCCTCTCTTCTCCTTCCTGTGAGAATCTTCTGTTTTCCCTGTACCTTATATATATATATTTTTCATGATTTATGCCTTCATTTCTGTGAAGGACATCCTCAGGTAGTTTCTGGTAATAGATGTACGGGGATTTTTTATTTTTAATTCATTAATAATGGTAGTGTCTTCACTGTATCTTCTCATTTGACTAGGAGTTTGTCTGAATTCTAACTTAGAAATATTTTTTCTTCAGTGTTATGAAATCATTTCTTCAATGTTTTCTAATCTCTAGTGTTGTTTTTGAGAAATCTAAAGGTATTCTAATGCCTATTTCCTGAGGTAAGAACCTCTTCTTTTTGGACTACTTAATTGAATCCCTCCTTCCCATCTTCTCTCTTATTTTTTTTCTGTCTGAGACTCCTGTTATTACTGTAGTAAGACTTTTAGGATTAGTCCTTGTTCCCTCTCCCTGTGTTCCTGTGTTTTTGCTCTGTCTTCTGGGAGAATTTCCTAACTATGTCTTCCAAGTTTTTTTTTTTTTTTTTTTTTGAGATGGAGTCTCACTCTGTCGCCCAGGCTGGAGTGCAGTGGCGCAATCTCGGCTCACTGCAAGCTCCGCCTCCCGGGTTCACGCCATTCTCCTGACTCAGCCTCCCGAGTAGCTGGGACTACAGGCGTCCGCTGCCACGCCCGGCTAATTTTTGTATTTTTAGTGGAGATGGGGTTTCACCGTGTTAGCCAGGATGGTTCAATCTCCTGACCTCGTGATCCGCCCACCTTGGCCTCCCAATCACAGCTGGGATTACAGGCGTGAGCCACTGCGCCTGGCCTGTGTCTTCCAAGTTTTTAATTGAGGTTCCCTGTAATTCTCAGAAGCATGTCCTTATGAGTCACACACTATTCTTACCTCATGTGTACAGTAACTTCTCTTGTTTTTCTGAGAATCTTATGATAATATGCTTGACATTCTCTCTCTCTCTCTCTCTCTCTCTAGTTGTCCAGGCTGAAGTGCAGTGGCATGATCATGGATCACTGCAGCCTCGACCTCCTGGGCTCATGCAATTCTCCCTCCTCAGCCTCCCGAATAGATGGGACCACAGGCACACACCATACCTGGCTCCTGGCTTTTTTTCTTCCTCCTTTAAGTTGTTTACTGGTTTTCTGATTTGTATAAACTTTCTATTTCGCATCATAGACTTTCCTCAGGCATCAGGACATCCATAATTCTTTATTTATAAATAAAAAAGATGAAATCAGCTGCTATTTGGAAGTTCTGAGCCAGAGATGGGTTTTCTGAACATTGAGCTTGGTCATGAGATGGATTGTTTGCTGTGGAGGACACAATGTCATGTCTTTATTTTTTCTCTTTGGCAGTTGAGATTTTTCATAAAACTGTCATCTCATCTTTGTCTGAAAAGTAGGAATTCATCTAACTGTGCCCTGGGACTAGCTCTGGAAAGACCACTAGCAGCCAGCATCTGGTGTGCAGAGGTTGGTCTGCTTCTCATTTGCAAAATGGCAGCTGTGCCCTCAGCCTCGGTGGCTTCTGCCTGTCTGAGAACCTCCGTGACTCCCTCTCACAGAGTCAACCTGAGCATATTGGAGTGAAACAGAACAGGTGCAGCCACTGGATACCTGGAGATGGCGAAAACAATCTGGGGGCTGAACGGCTTCACAGGAAGAGTCCATGTTCTTGTCCTAGTCAGGGTTCTGCAGAGAAGCAGAAGCCATATGATGTGTCTGTGCGGGCATGCGTGTGAGTGTGTATATGTAATAAGGGATTGGCTCTCATGACCATGGAGGAGACCATGTCATCTGCAGTCAGCAACGTGAAGACCCAGGAGAGCCAATGATTTAGGTCCAGTCTGAGTCTGAAGGCCCAAAGACCAGGAGAGCTGATGGTTTTGTTCTAGTCCAAAGGCTGGCAAACTCAAGACATAAGATCCAGTATTTCAGTTCAAGTCAAAGGCTGAAAAGTGCTGACATCCCAGTTTAAAGGCCATCAGTTAACAGAGATCGCCCTTAATTGCGGAGATGTCAGCCCTTTATTCATATTTAGGTATTCAGCTGGTTAGATGAGGCCCACCTGCATCAGGGAGGCCAGCATGCTTTACTCGGTCCGCCAACTTAAATGTTAACCGCATCTAAAAACACCCACCCTGGCACCTCCAGAATAATGAACGTTTGACCAAATATCTGGGCATCCTGTGGCCCAGCCAAGCTGACACATAATTAACCCTCACAGTCTACCTCTTCGATGCAGTCCTATTTTTCATCCCGAATTCCAACAGCACTGGGGGTCCCTGCACCTTTTGAGAATCTGCATGTATTTATTTATGTATGTATTTGTTTGTTTTTTTGTTTTCTGAGACAGAGTCTCACTCTGTCACCCCAGCTGGAGTGCAGTGGTGCATGGCTTACTGCAGCCTGACCTCTCAGGCTCAAGCTATGCTCCCACTTCAGCTTCCTAAGTAGCTGGGACCAAAGGCATGCATCACCATGCCCACCTAATTTTTTTATAATTTTTGTAGAGACAGGGTCTTGCCATGTTGCCTACGCTGGTCTTGAATTCCTGGGCTTGAGCGATCCACCCACCTTGGCCTCCCAAAGTCCCTGGATTACAGGTGTGAGCCAACGTGCCCAGGCTTGAGGATCTGCATTTAAATCACATTGTTTTCCATCTTCCCTCACCATGAGCTTGTGGTGCCTATTTGGATCTGCTAGATGAATTTCTACTCAACTGTTTTATTTCCAGATTACAATATTGTTGAATGGCTTTCTGCTCCCCTGATGGTCACCTCTTTGTGGGTTTGCATATTTATTTTTAAATGCCTTTGCCATGGTACTGAGGACTTGGAAGAAGGATCTATTAGACACATTCAATCTATTTCCACTTTCTGAACTCTAAAGTGTCTTTACTTAATAAACATAGTAACTTGCTCATTCAACGTATGAAGGTTAAATTAAGATGTAATATTATTTTATCTCTGCTGTATGTGCTCAAGAGATATTTAATTAATGGAATTTTGTGTATGCACGTATCTTAATTAACACAGGTATGAATTATGTGTGCTTACCTCTACCTATAAATATCAATGCATTTGAGTATATGTGTAATATGTGGTAATATTCTTTTACATAAGTTGGTAAGTGTACCTACCATCATTCCCTTGGAAAACTGATGGCTAAAATACTATAAAAGATAAGTATGTTTAAGTAGTTATAAGCAAAGTACATATGTATATATATGTAGAATAAATATTGTATTTTTCTGTTAGAATTGAAAATCTTAGGTTGTACTAGAGTCCTTCAATTTTTATGCTAAGTATTGGTTGTAACCTGAATATGATAGTAGTTAGCATGAACGCTGAAATCATAGTTTTGCCATTTGAAATATGACTGAGTGAGGTAATAGTGTTCTTTGGTGAGCATTTTGAGTTTTGTGCTTCACATCTGTAAACTGATAAAATCCTATTATGCCTTCCAGCTGTGATGCTTATACCGTGGGCTGCAGAATTATAAGATTAAACATTCTACATAAGCATTAAGAATCGTCTGCACCTCTGCAGGGCTATCCTAAGTTGTTATTAACTTCAGACATCTTTTCTCACCCAAAGCAAGCTCACACATCTTGGAAAGTGCTTGTCATTTTCATTTGTCTTATTTTTACTGTCCACCTTCTTTGTACCTCTGTACCTCCCTATGTGAAACTATTTCTGGTTATGGATCCTCTTCTAGAATTAGTTGATTAAATTATAGACTCTTATTCTGAATTCCTTGACTACTGTCAAAACATATTTGTGTCAAGGTTTCAATCCCTGTCATCATCTGAGAAGCCTTGATTAGTTCACGTTGCAGACTTTCTGTTTATAATGAGAGCATTTCTTAGCATCTTGACCTTTCAGATCATTTATATCAAAACTAATATTCCAGGGCTTTATGTTTTAATGAATATACAGTTGTCAACACTTTTCATCTTCTTTTTATACTCTAAATCATGCTACTTTCAGTAAGCTATTTCTTTCTAATTATTTTTTATGTTCAGATGGTAAAAAATAATGGAATTACTTACAGTTTTATTATTGATACATAGGATTTGGTTTGCAAATGTATAATATGCAATGACAATGTATGGTAATATAAACTATATGTAAGTTACGAAGCATAATGATGGAAGATGTATTCATGAACTCATCATACAAATTAAGAAATAAAATATTTGTTATATCACTAAACTACCCACGTGCTCCTTTTCAAATCCTATCCTCTCGTCTTAACTGGAGAAGACAGCATGATCTTGGATTTTGTTGTTGTTGTTTTTTTTCTCTTTGTTATTCTTTAGCTTTATCACAGAATATATCCCTACACATTCTACCATTTGGTTCTTGTATCTTTGATTTTATATAAATGGTATGCAGCCTTCTGCTATAGATGTAAAGTAACTTTTGATTAGTATTAGAAAGTGCCTGCTTTAATTTTAATCACATATTCAGTGAGATAAAAGGTAAAATGTAGAATCTCAATGGAGAATTGGAAAGTATCAAAAGCAAACTAGATCGGAAAATGCAAACAAACAAACAAAAACAAAACAAAAAACAAACAAACAAAAAGCCATATTCGAGATTTAGACTTTGGTGTTTGATTTAAAGTTAGATTAGAGATCATTAGGAAAAGTGGAGCAAGGACCTCCAAAAACACTTCTTTCCATAAAAACAACAAGAACATTTCCCCAAAATTACCAAAATAAACTTTATTAAAACTCCAGAACATAACCAAAGGCTTATACTCATCTGGAAGTACTTATATTGAAGAAAACCAGCTAACTCTGGGTAGAAGAGTGAGTTTTGTGATATTTTTACTTGCTCTATTCACATCACCCTCTGCTAGCTCCATGACAGCCTTGAAAATCAAATGCTGTGATCACAACTAGCAGCAAAGCAGCCACTCAAAGGCTTAGAACGGAACTTGGCCTTTTTCAAAGTCCCAATCTCAGACGACTGTCATCATCTGACCTGTCTGGACTTGCTGTAGAAAGTCTCATTTGTAAGGCTTGTCTTCCGTTCACCTGGTGCAGACATTGCCCAGGGTGAACAGCCTTTTCTCAGAGGGTGTTTGTCAAAAACACAAACAAACAAAAGTAACTGTTCAATAACATAGCTGCCTGAGATTGGGAGAACCCTTGAAACAAAAACAAGCTAAGTCGAAACCTTGAAAGTGAAATCTGGGGAAGAAGGTATTCCTGGGAGCTTTCAGAAGCTGCATTGGCTCCTGGGCATCCATAAGCCCAAGCACAAGCTTGGGTCTCTGCACATGGCCAGGGCTGTGCGATCTTCAGGGCAGGACAGAGAAGGACATACACACTCACTTCTGCTGAACCTGAAGGCTCTGCACAAACACGAAGTGAGGGCTGAGGCAGAGTTGTAAAGTAATGCACACCATGGCATGCCATAAAAACTTGTAAAAAGCCAAAGACAGAGAAAATACATTGAAAACAGCAAGAGAGAATCAACTCATTGCATACAACGAAGCCTCAATGAGATTACAGTTTATTTATCTTCAGAAACTATGGTGTCCAGAAGTCAGTAGGTTGATGTATTGAAAGCACAGAAGGAAAGAAAGAAAGAAAGAAAGAGGCCATTAACCAATAATTATCTGTGCAGCACAACTCTTTTCACAAATGGAGAAAACACATTGCAAGATAAAAGCAAAAACAAAAACAAAACAAAACGTAAATAATTAGTCATTTTATTAGTCTTGCAAGTAATAGTGAAGGTAGCTCTTCAGGCAGAAATAAAATGACCCTAGACAGTAACTCAAATCTACATGAAGAAACAAAGGGCACTGATGAAAGGAATTGCATAGTTAAGTAAAAAAGACAATATAAATATATTTTTTGTTAATGACATTATCTCTCTTGTTTGATTTGAAAAAAATTAGATAAAGTAATAATTATAAGACTGCACTGATGGGGTACAAAAGATAAAATATATATTATTTTTATGGAAAATAATAAAAATAAATTTAAGGGAAAGGAGCCTTATGAAGAGAGACTAAAATAATCTCAATAAAACACTGGTAAATAGAATTCGGCAGCATATTTAAAAGACTATAGAGCATGATAGCTATGGTTTCAACTTTTAAGTTTCCTTAAAAGTTTATGTGTTGAAAACCTAATCCCCAATGCAGCAGTGTTGATATCTGTGGTCTTTAAGAGGTGATTAGGTCATGAAAGCCAAGTCCTCATGAATGACTTAAAGCCATTATTACAGCCATGGGTTAGTGATTGTGAGAGTGGGTTTGTAATAAAAGCAGCCCCCTATTGTTCTTTCTGTCCCATGTCTTGCTTCTGCCTTTCCACCTTCCACCATGTAACTAGGCAACAAGAAGACCCTCACCAGATGTCTGGGCAGATGCTGGTGCCATGCTGTTGGACTTCACAGCCTCCAGAAGCCAAATAAATCTCTATTCTCTATAAATTACCCAGTCTATGGTATTCTGTTATAGTATCAGAAAACAGTCTAAGAAAATGACCAAGTGAGACTTTCCCCAAAACTGCAAGGTTGGTTTCCTGTTAGAAAATTAATTGAAGTAATGTATTTTATCAAGAAAACAAAAGCCCAAAATTACATAATCATCTCTATAGACACAGAAAAAAAATCTGTTAAAATCCAACACCCATTTATGATGAAAATACTCAACAACCAAGAATGGAATAGAGCCCCTCAAACTGATAAAGGGTATCTCAAAATACCCATATCTAATGTTATTCTTAGTCATGAGAGCCCCTTGGGGGTCAACAATAAGACAGAAATGCCCTGTCTTACAATTTATACTCAAATTCTACTTGATTTCTAGCAAGGGCAAGTAGTCAAGTAAAGCATCCAGATTGACAGTAAAGAAGTAAATCCATGTCTATTTGCAAGGACAATCTAATTTATAAAACATCATAATGAATCCACAAAAAAAACCTTTAAAGTTAATAAATACAACCAGCAGGATTGTAGCCTACAAGATCAGTATAAAAAATCAATTGTAACTTTATTTAAAATAGCATCCAAAATGAAACATTTTAAAATAAATTTAACAAAAGAAGTGAATATGTGTACAGTGAAGGCTGCAAAGCATCACTGAAATAAATTAAAAACCCAATTGAATGGAATCTAGTCTATGCTCACTGATTGGAATTTCTATATTGTTTAGATGACAATATGCTCCAAGATGATGTACAGATTGAATACAATTACTATTGAAACCTACCTTTGTTTTTGCATTAAGTAATAAAATGATCCTAAAATTCACATGGAAAATTGAGGTACCCCAAAACCAAAAAAAAAAAGAAAACTTAAAAAATAATAATTTTGGAGAACTTCTAAGTTCTTATTTCAATACTTACTATGAAGATAAAGGTAGACAGAATAAACAATAAAAGAGGAAGATAATCTTGATTGTCTCTAAGCTAATATTTTGAATTTAAATGAAATGTTCAAGTACCCAGAAAAAATGGAAAATCAGCAAAGCTGACTGAGAAATAGAAAATCTGAAAGGCCTAAAAATTGCAGTGCAATTTAAGCTTTATTTAAAAACATTCCAATGAAGAAATTCCCCCAAACTGTAATTCAACATGGTTTACAAAATATTAAGTAATTCCAAATTTAGAAAACTCTTTCCAAAATTAAAATACAGAATACTAATGATCTTGTCATGAGACCAGTATTGCCTTCATATGAAAATCAAAGCAATGAAAATATAAAAATATTATCCTCCCCAAATAGATTACTTACAACTCTAATGCAAATCTCAGTAGATTACCCTGTACAATTTGATAAGAAAATGCTAAAATTTCCACGAGGATGAAAAGGTCAGAAATAGACAAATTTTAAAGAAGGAGCAAATTGTGGAATAATTTGTTTTACTGGATACCAAGATTTTTATAGTTATAGCAATTAAGATAATATGGTGTTTTGATATAGAGAAGATTAGCATGGCCCCAACGCAAGGATGACATGCAAATTTGTGAAGCGTTCCATGTTTTTGAGTCATCATGAACAGATGAATAAAGGGCTCTTTTTGTCTTTTTCTGAAAAATAATAAAAAATATTTTCCTTTCTTCAAGGAAGTGAATATTTTGTAGCTGAAGGAATGGCTTCCAAAGAGTATGAATAAGTTCAGTTATAAAAGATACCAGTAAAGAAAAATAAAACAAAATAAATAAAATGGAGGAAGCATACCCCCCGGTTTAAGACAAAAAAAGAAAAGATAATATGGTGTTTCTACAATGATAGAGAAATACTACAATAAAATTGAATGGAAAACCCAGAATCATACCCATTCATAAAAACCATAGACTCAAAACAAAACTGTCACTGCAGTCAATGGAAAAATTATGGCCTTTTCAATAAGCAGAACTTGGTTAATTGTATAGTCATAGTAAAAAATATATATATTTGCATTTTTTATGTATTTTGTATATACACACACACACACACACACACACACACACACACACATATACTTAAATCTCTAAGACATAGCTTCCTACTTCACATCGTATAAATATAGGAAGTATTATAGATGTAAGTAAGAAAGATAGGATAAATATATCTTTTAGATTCTAAAATATTTTCATTTTTGATTAAAAAAGTCACCTTGAATAGGACTTAAAAGCATTAACTGTAAGTGCAAATGCTGATAAATTTAACAATGCTACAATTAAGAACTTTTACTTACCAAAGGACAAATGGATAGAATAAAAAGGCACACCACAGCGGGTAAAATATATTTACAGGCCAGGGGCGGTGGCTCATGCCTGTAGTCCCAGCACTTTGGGAGGCTGAGGCAGGTGGATCACCTGGGGTCAGGAGTTTGAGACCAGGCTGACCAACAGGATGAAACCCATCTCTACTACAAATACAAAAAATTAGCTGGGTGTGGTGGCAGGAGCCTGCAATCCCAGCTATCAGGAGGCTGAGGCAGAAGAATCGCTTGAATCCAGGAGGCAGAAGTTGCAGTGAGCTGAGATCACTCCATTGCACTCCAGCCTGGGCAACAAGAGTGAAACTCCATCTTAAAATTTTTTTTTTTACAAAATATATGACTGGCAATGGCTTTGAATGCAGAAAATATGCAATGTGAAACATTTACAAGCACTCCTGAAAACAAATTTGCGTAATTTACTAAACATGAATAAATTCATGTTCTAAGACTCAGAGATACTATTTTCAAATCTATTTCCCAACAGAAATATGTTCACATATGCTTGAAGATACATGTATAAGAATGCTTAAGACAGTATTTTTTATTCAAGCCATAAACTGGAAAAATTACCTCAAAAGTGATTACAGACAAATATATTGTGGTACGTTCATTTAGTGGAGTACAGCAATCACAACAAATAAAATACCACTCATGCAACAAAATAGGTGATTCTCACAAAAATAAAGAACACCTAGAATTCTGCCTTTATAAAAGAAAAATAAATAGAAAAAAATGAAACTCCAGTGTTGAGGAACAAATGTGAGAGTGTAATATTACAAGGAAAAGTAAGTCAGTAATTTTCATAAGTCAGGAGAGAAGAGATGGGGAGTGAGCCCTCGAAGAGGTTCTAGAGTGGAGTGCTAGCACGTTGGGTTTCCTGACTTGTGTGGTGCTGTGTTTGTTATAATGCATTGAGTTTTATTCTGTTTATCTATCTATCTATCTATCTATCTATCTATCTATCTATCTATCTGGCTATCTGTCTATCTCTTTATTTTTGAGACAGGGTCTGGCTATGACCCAAGGTGGAGTGCAGTGGTGCAATCTTGGCTCACTGCAGCCTCGACCTCCCCAGGCTCGGGACCTCCCAGGCTCAGGTCATTCTCCCACCTTAGCATCCCAAGTAGCTGGGACTACAGGTGCACACCACCAAGCAGCTGATTTGTGTATTTTTTAATAGAGATGGGATTTCACCATGTTGCCCAGGCTGGTCTAGGAAGATGAAGATTCACATGGTACTGACATTTTTGTAAGGCAACATCTGATATATAATACCTGCTTTGAATTCCTTACTTATAAATTGGAATAAAAATAGCCCTGTTCACAAAAAAAAGCCAAACTCTGTAAAATATTTGAAGAGGTTTATTCTGAGTCAGATTAGAGAAACATGGCCCGGGACACAGCTTCAGGAGGTCCGAAGAATATGTGCCCTGGGTGGTTGGGTTATAGATTGGTTTTACACATTTTAGCGGACAGGCGTTACAGGCAAAGACATAGATCAATACACGCAAGTTACACATTGGCTCAGCCTGGAAAGGCAGGACATCTCAAAGCAGGGATCTTCCAGGTTCTAGGTAGATTCAAAGATTTTCTGATGGGCAGTTGGTTGAAAGAGTGAAGCCCTGCTTAGAGAGTTAAAGTCAGCATAAAGAAATGCTTGAGTTAAGACAAGGGGGTGGGGGTGGTGGAAGCCCAGGCTCTTGTCATGTAGATGAAGCCTCCAGGTAACAGGCTTCAGAGAGAATAGAAGGTAAACAAACACCGCATGTTCTCACTCATAGGTGGGAATTGAACAATGAGAACACATGGACACAGGAAGGGGAACATCACACACCAGGGACTGTTGTGGGGTGGGGGGAGGGGGGGAGGGACAGCATTAGGAGATATACCTAATGCTAAATGAGGAGTTAATGGGTGCAGCACACCAACATGGCACATGTATACATATGTAACAAACCTGCACATTGTGCACATGTACCCTAAAACTTAAAGTGTAATAATAATAAAATTTTTTTAAAAATGTCTCTTATTGGACCTTAGAAGGTGTCGGCTCTCTGGAAAAGACCTAGGGAGGGACCAGCATCCTTTTTACACTTGTACTTTTACTTGCGCTTTTTACAGACTGCAAATTTCCCCCATAAGAGATGGCTTTGCAGGCCATTCCAAAATTGCCAAATAAATATTTTTTGTGGTAAAATACTTGGATTTGCTTTAGGGTCTGCGATGTGTCATGTGGTGCTATACCAGAGTCAGTTTGGGATTTGGTGTCTTACTGCTACAAAGAGCCTGCTTTGTCAGTCTCCAGATCTCTGTTTTAACGTGAATGCTGGTCAGTTGTGCCTGAATTCCAGAGGGAGCAGGGTGTAATGAGGCATGTCTGCCTCTCCCTTCCTGTCATGGCCTGAACTAGTTTTCAGGTCTCTTTGCAATTCCTTCGGCCAAGAAGGCGGGGCCGTTCAGTCCATCGGCGGACTAACAATTTTATTTTTGCTTTACAGTCTGTACCTCATGAAGTTGTTGGTATGTACTTTTAAATGGATTCGAACAGGAAAAAGCACTTGGAATTGTGTCTGACACATAACAAGCACTCAATAAATGTCAGCTTTTGTTGCCATTAGCCTAATTTTCAGTGTCATCCCTGTTATAAAAGGATTTATATCTCTTCTTGTAGCATAAACGCAGGCAGATTTGGCACTTAACTAATGATGAGTAAAGTAATCAACAATAGCTAATGTACACTGAAAAAAATAACATTAGATTTTGTCTCTGGTCAACTTTCCCTATTATATTTTTGCAGAAGCAAACAAACATGTTCTGAATTCTATCAAATGGTATAAAATACAGTGCTCCTTTGAGCACAATAGGGCTTTAAGTGCAAATATACAACGAGTTAGTAACACTGAAACTTTGGCAATGGCTAATCAATATTTTACTTGCTTCAGGGTCCAAGACTACTTGATTTTTTTTTCTTTCTTTCTTTCTTTCTTTTTTTTTTTGAGACATAGTTTCCCTCTTTTTGCTGAGGCTGGAATGCAATGGCACGATTTCGGCTCACTGCAACCTCCGCCTCCTGGGTTCAAGTGATTCTCCTGCCTCAGCGTCCCAAGTAGCTGGGATTTCAGTCTTGTGCTACCATGCTCAGCTAATTTTTTAATATTTTTAGTAGAGATGAGGTTTCACCATGTTAGCCAGGCTGGTCTTGAACTCCTGACCTCAGGTGATCCACCTACCTTGGCCTCCCAAAGTGCTGGGATTACGGGCATGAGCCACCGCGCCCGGCTGGCTGCTCTTTAAGATAAGAAAAATGGAGCATTTGGGGTCAATAAAAAGTAGAAAAAATTACATCTATGAATGTATGGAAAAAAAGATAATATTTCAACCACCATTAATGTGGCAGTTTTTTCTTGTAAATTTCTTTATGGGTCATGGATTTTATAATTTTGTAACACTATCTGAAGCTATTCTCTCAATGTTTTCTCATTATTTATATGACCATTGTCAAACATTTATGTGCCATTTATCAAAAAAAAAAAAAACCAACTCCATTTACATTTCAACATGCAGTTTTTTAAGATCTTCCCCCAACACCTGTAATTGACTTATTGACACTTCATATATGCTGTGCTCTAATTTATTTCCACCTAATCATCATCAATATTTTCAAAGGATAAACACAGGACACTTTGGTTTTCCTATGAATTTTTCATTTTGTTTTCTTTTATCTCAGTTATAGGAAAGAAGGGAAGATGTGGTAGGATGAGATGATGACTACATCATGGGAATTCATCTGGGGAAAGAACATTTAAAAAGTGACATGCCATCTACTTTGAAGAGTCAAGGAAAATATACTTCAAACTGGGTGTGAAGGAAGAGAACAGTAATAGCTCAGAGCTGACCAATGATCAGACCCACATGAGGTGCAAGGAACACACTTTACTTACTTGCACGACCACACAGAGCTGGAAATCCTTCTGCTTCACGTAATGGTCTTGTTATATTCTTTCTTTTAGCAATAGCATTTTGAGTGAGATTTCCTAGGTTGATTCATAGATATGGTTTTCTGCCATAAAACTGTCAGAGGCATGTGAACCAGAGCAATTCCATCTTGAATAGGGACTGGGTAAAATAAGGCTGAGACCTGCTGGGCTGCATTCCCAGATGGTTAAGGCATTCTAAGTCACAGGATAAGACAGGAGGTCAGCACAGGATACAGATCATAAAGACCTTTGCTGAGAAAACCGGTTGCAGTAAAGAAGCCAGCTCTAATCCACCCAAACCAAGATGGCAACAAGAGTGACGTCTGGTTGTCCTCACTGTTACAGTCTCATTAGCCCCATGATAATTTACAAATGCTATGGTAACATCAGGAAGTTACCCTATATGGTCTAAAGAGGAGAGGCAGGAATAATCCACCCCTTGTTTAGCATATCATCAAGAAATAACCATAAAAATGGGCAACCAGCAGCCCTTGGGGCTGCTCCATGGAGTAGCCATTCTTTTATTCCTTTATCTTCTTAATAAACTTGTTTTCACTTTATGGACTCGCCCTGAATTCTTTCTTGCACGAGATCCTGTAACAAAAGGGCTGAAAGACATAACCTACTTTTACATGAAATATTCTTAATACCACTTCAAGTAAAACTTTTCAGAAATCTCCAAACACCCTGTTTCTTAGTGAATTCTTAACCTTGTATCTTCCTTTTTCCTCCTTCGTTGAGACCTAGCAAAATTATTTTTAATCGCATGTGTATACAGACCCACCCTTATATTCATTATCACATTATTTATTAAATGTGCATTCTTAATGTAAATGCCAAATAGTATTCTTGGAATCAGATCTCAAAAAAAAAAAATAAAATCCCAAAGAAATTGTGAGAATGTAAAGTATTGTTGGAGAAAGTACATATCTTTGATCTTCATTGAATTTCCACACTATCCTAGAATGTGATTTATTTTTATCTCACGCCTGAAGTAAGGAAATTATTTTGTTGTGGATTCACTGAGATAAGAGTTGGAGGTGTGTGGCCCCAACTTGAGGAGAAAAACTTGTGATTGCAGCTCAGAACAGAGACCTCGCCCAAGGATCTGCTTCTCTTTACACAGGACTGTTTTCCTTTTGAGGCTACACCTCCCTTCTGTGAATTCCCTGATGATATTAGAGATGTTTTCATGCTAAGAGCTTCATGCCACACAGAGATGGTTGTGATCAGAGCTTTGTGAAGCCATCGTCCTCACACAGTCCTGGGAGTGAAATCCAGAGTGAAGCTTGGCTTATCCATCAGCAAAGGTATCCTTTGTTCTATGACTGGGAGAGGATGGCTTCTGTGAAAATACTGCTTTTCATTTCACCAGACCTCAAAGTGATGCAGAAAAATATTTTGCCCTGTCATCTGTGCTTCTTTACCTTTCATGGCAGGGCTAATTTTTCAGTTCTAATGACAACTTCACTGTAACATCAATCAAGTATAAAAGCTGTCTCTGTCAGAGAGGAAAGACCCTTTATGCAAAAAAAATTTGATGCGGAAAAAAAAGTTAAGCCATACAGCAATTAGAAACACATTTTGGATGTATTTTTTTCCCTCCCTTTTCAAGGGCAAAAACAAAGAAAAATTACTTTTAGGGCAACGGTATGTGTGTTCTCAGACTATGCCAAATGTGTCATATGTTTGCAAAGTGCCTCCTCCGTTTAAAGGTATACTCTTTCATTTAGAAATACTTTACCTAAACAAACTCTTAAGGAATTTGGGTGGGAAATGTAAAAGTTAGAAACATTTAAATTATTAAAATTAAGTATTTAAAATTCAACATGTATATGTTTTATTACATGTTGATATCACAGAAAGGAAAACAGTCCTGTGTAAAGAGAAGCAGATCCTTGGGCGACGTCTCTGAGATTTTATCATGATAGATACATCTAAGAAATAGATTTGTTAGATAAATATTTACGATTAACTCAATGCTTTTAATTTTAAAAATACAAAGTGAATTTCAATCTATAAAAATATTTTTATCGAATGAGAAAGTAAGTCTGTATGAATTAGAAATCAGAAGAACTAATTTTTATACAATAAGTAGGCATGAGACAAATTAACTACATTAAAGCTTGCAAGAATCTCAGGAAATAAGTGTACGGAGAAAAAACAGCAACATTTTATTTTAGTATGAAGATTGACTTATTTGCCCTAATAATGAGCTTCTGTATTTTTTCCCGTTTTTCTAGATATTTATTATCATATAATGAGGCACAGTTAATATAAAACATGTGTTATTTTAAAACATTAACAGCAGACTCTCAAACTGTGACCTTACAGATCTGAAGGACCATATGTAGATATTGACCCAGACCAAGTAGCAGTGTTGTTGGTTTTTTTTTTTTTTTTTTTTTCTGTGAAGGGCAAAAGAGTAAATAGCTTAGGCTTTGAGACCGTAAGGTCTACACTGGTTCAACTCTGTAGCGGTCATAGACCATATGAAAATGAATGGGCACAGCTGTATTCCAATCAAACTTTTTTTCATAAATGTAGGCAGTGGGCTAGCTTTGTTCTGCAAGCCATAGTTTGCTGACCCCTCTTCTGTAGCATGTTTTTCAAATAGTCATGCACAACGTGCTTTAAAATCATCTGGATTTTCTTCAGGGGTGAATTTAGTTTTTATAGTGACTGAACATTATAAATTAGAGAAGATTTTCTTTAAGAAAAAAGAACAAAATTGTGAATATAAATTAGGAAGGTAGCTACTTAGTGTTAGAAATGAAATCATACTGAATATCATAAAATTATAAAATCCAGAAAATATTATAGTATTTGTATCAATTGTCTGAAATATCTCACTAACACATCTTTCCTATATTTTTTGGCTCATACTTTTTCATCTCTTTTTGATTTGTAACGTCACTTACTACACAAGTAGTAGAAAGTTCACGTCCACTTTTCTAACACACTTATTAAAGTTTGTTAGTAATAGGTACAAATAAATTGTTTTCCATATAACATAGATGTGATATTGGTCATGTCCTGCAAATAATCCAGGACTACTATCAATTTTGAAAAAAAATAAAAAAAGAAACAAGAAAAAACCCCTCCACCAAATGTCCGGTGTAGACCCATGAGGTTTGAGTGTGTTTTCCACGGACCTGTCCTGGCTCTGCACATTTCTAACCCCGTTTCCTCTGCATCCTCTACGTGTTGTCTTGCCTGTGCCCCAGCACGGAAAGCCACTGAGCTCCGCACGTGTGTGACAGGTGGTTGGACTGGCTGAGAGGGGCAGGAGACGGCTCTCCCCCACCCACGAGAAACATCGGGTGATGGTTCAGCAATAATTGCATTGCCTCTCTGAGGGTGATAATCCAGCAGTGCCGGGGAGGCGCCCTTTCCTGATGGTCCACACCTATTAACATCAAAATGTTCATTGAATGCGGGCCTCAGGGAGAAGAAACTTTCTGTGGATGCGCACTAAGAGACGAAAATGGCGATGTAGGATCTTGAGGGTACACAGCACCGGAAACGGGAAGGAAACCTCAGCGGGACCTGTGTTGTCCGTCCCTAAGCACACTGCGCATGCGCATTTCCCAGGGCAAGGAGGGCTCTGCGCATGCGGACAGTGCACCCTGAGGGAAGAATCATGGAAAAGGGGTGAGTCTATCAAAATCTTAAGATCACGGTTAAACCGGACACTTGACCTCTCTTTAACCTTCATGTGCCAGGGCACCTTTCGTTCTTTCCTGTTATAAGCCCTCTTTAAGTAGACTTCCATTCCTGCCATAGAACTTGCCTCCGTCTCTTTTCCTGCTTTATGCCCCTCAGTCAAATTAGTCAAATTCTTTTTTCTGAGGAGACAAGGGCTGAAGTTGCTACGAACCCATTGGGATTTGAGCTGGTAACTCAGGTCTCTGCCACCGGTAATACGTGGGTGCTGCCAGGGTCCTGGTGCTGTGAATCAACCTAGAGAGGAACAGGCCAGAGCTATCCCTATAGGCAGAAACTATCCCTATAGACAGCAGGAAGCGGCTTCACCAAACTGAACTCAGAAGTGACCCCAGATAAGTCACAGACCGACGTCTCACTCAAAAGAAATGTATTACCAAGTCAGTTTCCCATAACGAATTCTCCCAAACAGCCACGCCCATTACAAAAGGAAGTGTGATGGTGGGAAAGTCATGGCCAAAGGAAGGTCTTTAGTAAGAACAGAAACATCCTACGTTTGCAGAGTTCACAAAGACATTTGACCATGTGTGTGTGCCTGGTCATCTCCCAGACCCTTGGATGCAGCTGTTGTCAGAAAAGGTCACCAGAGCTTTAGCCCCATTCACATCCTAAGAGTCACGTCCAGATTTCCTTCAAATGGAGACCTCGACCCCCATCCCGGATCAGGGGACTGTGAATCTCTGGGCACATGGTCTGGAGGGGCTATGTAATGATCAGAACAACGTTCTGATAGCCCGCAGCAGCCTGGGCCTCCCCTAACATCCAGGGTCGATAAAGATGTTTGGAAAACCAGAGATGTACCTCATTCCAGAATATTGCACAAAGCCCTCTAGTTATAGAAAATCCTCCCTTGTTTGAATCAAAATAAACTATTAAATTTGGGTGTAAGTGATACATGCTTGTATTTTATCAGAGGGTGTATTCGTAGATGCTGAGGAGTTGTTACATCTATAAGTTTATATTGACAATTTCATAATTATTTTAGTTCACAGTTTAAATTTCATAGAGATTTCATACCTTTTGAATACTTATAATAATGCACAGATACAAAATATTTTTTCTTTTTTATATATATAGCTAATTTAGTAGATACATAGGTGAGTAAGTAGATAGATGTATAGATATTCACAGTAGCTCTTAAGAACATACTTTGTACATGTGCCTTGCAATAAATATTGTTGAATAAATAAATGAGTATATAGGTTATCTTATTAGAGCATCAAAAAAGCCTTTGATGTAACTTGGGCTCGAAATGAAAGAAAATTTGCCAGTGTTGATGCAAGAAACATATTGCCAAATTTGGACTTGTCCCCAGATCTGTGCACTCCTAATTCTGGTCAACTATTCATCCTTTCAATTACCTGAAAAAAAGAAATTCCGTGTCTGCTTTCAAATGGGTAAGTGCAAATTAAACATTCATCCTGGACACTAAGCCATTTTTGAAGCCTTGAAAATAGCAATCACGTGGCTAGTCATTGCTATTATTAAAGATTTATTACAACCTACTTCACATATTCCAAGCAGTCTCCTAACCCCTTTATAAATATTAACTTAACAAATTCCTCATCAAAGTGCCATCGAGAACCCCTGTTATTATCCGTATTACAGGTGAGGATCCTGAAGCACAGGTGGTTAGGCAGCTTCCCAAACCCATTCAGGAGAATCTAGAGAGGCTTAGGTTCACATCAGTACCTCTGGGTTCTGATTTCATATTTTCTGTCATGTACTATGACAATCTGATTCTCAAACACACAGACCTTGTGGAAAATGCAAATCCTAGAGTTTGAATTACCTAGATAAAAACGAATCTTTGTTTGAACCATGGTCGCTTAAACTATCCAATAACCAATATATATCAATATCTAAAATGGCCTTACAAGTCTTCCTAAGAAATCAGCTTTTTTAACATGGTGGCAGTTTGTATTTTATTAATCAACATAAGGCTGGCCTGTCTTGGCTATTAACTATGACTTAAAGGAAATTTCCTATTCCTCCTGGACATCGGCAAGTTCATCTCTAAATCATGTGGAAAATAGAATATAATTCATAAGTGGCCAGGGAGATGAAATGGCTGCTGTATAAGCATCTCCAGTATATGGTCGATATTCTCAGCATTCACTCAGTGCGTTTTCTTCACTTATCATGGAGCTATGTTTGTAAGTTCTCAAGTCATCACAGGGCTATTTTTAAACGCCCCCATCACTTTCGAATTGTTTCCCAGTCAGTGACTTGTGAGCTCTCCTTTAACTTTTAATCTTCTTTGACATTTCTTCACCCTGCCTTTGTTTGTGTTTTCTCACCATAAATCATCTCTGTCTAGGAGAAGCCACTCATCAGTCAAGGTCTCATCACATCTTCGCTCCCCCGAGGCTCCTCCTGTTTGGTAGGATTAGAGCTAGGATCGCCTGAGACCATGTAGATAGTTCAATAAACTGCTTAAGAAAACAGCCCTGCCCTTCTTTTACAAGCCGATCTCCGGCCCTCATTTCCAGCAGTTGCTATCCCAATCAATACTGGTATCTGAGTAATTAAAGGCTTCCAGGTTTAGAGTTCTTGCCTTCTTGCAGGCTCTCCTTATCTACAAAAACACTGCCTTACATATTTGCTTCCACTGTCCTTGACTTTTCCAGCCGCAATCCACAATTACGTTGCTATTTTTTATTCCAAATTGACTGCTGTGTCAGGTGAGCTATTTAAAAGATTTTTGCTCATACGATTCCTACTGTGGCCCACCCTGATAATATTTGACAGAGCCATTTAGTTTGTATCTGTTATCTTAGTGCCAAAGTAAATTCCACTCCCCTCCTCATGCATCTTTCCTGGATAAATAAATCCATCTCCATTGGATTATGCTCACCCCTTCATTAGCTCTCTGAAAAAGTGACTCCAGAAAACACCCTTTACAGTCTCAGGAGCTCTCTCTCTAACTGCCTTTCTGATGATCAATATCTGCACAAGAAATGAAAAATTCAGTCAAGCCCAGCCATGACTGCAATGATGTGAATATGTGATATTACATAGATCACCAAATGTTATACAAAATTTTAAAAATCTGAGAAATGCTTCAGATGTTTTTCCTCAGACATCACTCATTGAGGCTGGAAGGCTTTCTATAAATTATGCAAGATGGCAGTCACATTATTCTGAATTTACAGAAGCCTAGATGTCGTTTTTACAAAACTGAGAGTCTATGGGCAGGACAAGTGAGGGAGAAGACATTAAGGAGAAAATGATGGAGAAAAATAAAAACGGAGCTGAGTAGTGAGAGGATGTGGTTTTAGTCAAGGCTACTCTGTGAAATGGCTCATAAGAACCTTGCCAACAACTGTAAACATCCCCACTAACTGTAAAGAACCATCACCACCCACCACAAGCAACAGCCATCACCACTACCACCAACAACAGCCATCACCACTGCCACCCACCACCAGCAACAGCCATCACCACCCACCACCAGCAACAGCCATCACCACCCACCACCAGCAACAGCCATCACCACTACCAGCAGCAACAACCATCACCACCCAACAGCAACAGCCATCACCACCCATGACCAGCTACAGCCTCAACCACTACCACCAGCAACAGCCATCAGCCACTAACACCTACCAGCAAAAGCCATCACCCCCACCGGCAAAAGCCATCACCACCCGCCAGTCGCAGCCATCACCACTAACCACCTCCTCAAATATAGGAGCCCATGGAAGATGGTGCCGGTCAGGGAAGAGCCACGGAGCAATAAAAAGACAAGTCAGTGGTTAAAAAAAGTTCCAAGTGTTAACCATCAGAGGTCAATCCTTTGCTTACAAAGAAAATAAAACCTAAAGTGGGAAGTTCATGCCACTAGGAAAGACAAGGAGTCTGTAGATATATCTCTTGAAGACAAAGTCATTTCAGGAAGAGCATAAGGAAAAGTTTATAACCATGGTCGAAAATAACACATTAAAAGTAGAATCGGTCTGTTTTTGCTATGATAGTTTGCTTTACTCACATTCACAAGTAAAGACAGGGAGGTTCATGCATCAGATCATGCCACCTTCACAAAGTCACACAACAGCTAAAGTCAGTAGATACACCCAGGCAGCCCAGAGTCAAAACCAAAAGTCTTTCACCGTGCTCTCTATCATGGCTTTAATTTTCAACAAAAATAACTGTATTCAGCAAAGAGTTAAAACATTCCGCTTCAGTGAATCTTTGTAAATTTTCCACTTCCAGCTTTAACACTCTAAAAACTGCCCAGGTAATTGTACATAATACTAAGGGGGAGCAAAAGAAAAAAAAAATCAATAAAAGATTATATAATTGTATTTCTTATCTTCCAGTGCTGAAGCTATCCATAGAAAATCTAGTTATCAGAAGACACCCAACCTTGACAAGGTGAGCCTGGATTTGCCGCGGAGCAGCTTGTGATTTTTGAAGTGTTATTATGACAATTGCCATTACGGAGTTGTAGCTGTACCTTTTAATTTGGTTGTCAAGGGAGACAGGGAGCAATAATTAAGGCTAAAAGATGGAGAGTGGAAGGCTTATTAAAGGATATGTTGAAGACGGGAATTTGATCTGAGAATTAGATTCTGATGAGCGCTGTTACTGCCGCCTGGGCACTCCTGAGTGACGGAGGCGCCGCACAGGCAATTACAGCAACAGACGTCTCCCTAATCTTTACAAGCCCAAACTCACTGCCACATCCATTTAAATTAATTTTTCTGAAGCCTGAAAGTTTATAGCTTCACCAAATTGGAGATTTGTTTGTTTATTGTTCATAGGAAATATTTTAGGGGAGCAAATAATGCTGAAAGCCATCACGTCTGTCTTGCTTGTCTTTTTAACTTGTAAAATTAATGCTATGAGATGAATCTGAAGGCTGCTGACTTTATGAAGCTGATGGGTACTTGGCAGCCAAACATTATTATGATTATCAGTGGAAGGTCACAGCAAAGCATGTAAAAGTCACAGCTGATTCAGGAGCTCCCTACATTGAGCAAAGGATTGGGGAAAAAAACTAAATCACAGGCTTGTGCTGTTTGGTGTTATAAGTGAGAAATCAGTCTTCCTTGCCTTGCTGAAACTGAAATTTTCAGGAACGGATTTTAAACAACTTTGGACATAGTTATTTCAAGATGTCTGTTCCATAGAGATAGCAATAGTTCATTACCATCCACACTGAAAACCTATTTTAAGGAGTACTTTGCTGCACAAAGATTAATTTACTACATCATTTTTTTTCCTCCCAGTAACAGTAATGTAAGTAATTGTTGTACCTTAAATTGGCATTATATTTTGATAGCCTAGTTTTTAATATACAAAGAACTGTTCAGTGTAACTGTTCAGAAACACAGAAATAGAGACAGAAAATAGGAATCTTTGGGAACAGCTCTCCATTTAAATCCCATTTATTGTTCTGATAGAGAGTGCTGGCTAAAGATGTTTCACCATAATAATAATGACTGAACCATGATTGTTTTGCAAGGAAGCTTCAAAAACTATCAGACATTTTTGTTGGTGATTTGGATATGGCAAAATCTGAAAACCCACCCTGACTAAAAGTATTCCGTTCTTTCCCATCTGTTAAGACACGGTTATTTCCTGTGAAATTTCTATAATAGGGCTTTTATACATATATAAAGTTGAGCAACACTCTGTGATATTAACTGGTGATAATTTTATAAGCTTGCCTAGTAATAAAAGAGCATTAATATCACAAAATAAAAATCAGTAGATAGTACCTATAGATAATGGAAGAAGAAATAACATGTGGTCTTAATAATGAATGTGGAAAATACTAAAAAGAGTAACATTTCTATATATTGGAGAGGAACTGGGGAAAATGGGGAGTAGCTGAGTCCTCAGTACATGGGGATATTGGTTATAATTTCTCATATTAAGCAGCATAAAGCTATTACTTAGGGACATGGTGATTTAATATCAGAAATGATTAAATGATTTTAGTAGTTATCTTTGGGGGCACAGAAATGGGGATAAGGATGCTTCAGAGGGGGTGGAAGACAGAAGTTTTCATTTATTATTTTTTTAATGATGTTCAAATATTTCTGTGATAAAACATTTAAAAGTACATTTAAAATTATATATGTACATTATATGTAGAGTGTGTGCCATAAGCTACTAATTACTATGTCAAATGATTCAGCTTATCTTTTTTTGTGAAGCTAGATATTCTGCAAAGAAACGCTGCTAACACATTGTCTTACTTTTTGTCAATTTTAGTATGATGATGAGTAACTTATGAGTCAATATTACCGCACTTCCTGCAGATAAAACTTGAGTGGTAATACCTAAGGTATCAGTGTGTTGAGTTTCCAATTAGCGTAGGCATTTAGGAATGCGCACACGCTACTTGATCTGGGGGCCCTGCTGTGATGACGTGTGCATGTGGTGCCTTGTTGGAGAAAGGCGCCGTCTTCTCTACCTGTTGCACGATAGCTCGGGGTAAACAGCCCTGTGTTACGTCTTTCCTATCACTGTGGCTGCAGCCCAGTATAGACTAAAGGCAGAGACAGCAAGAGGTTACAACGGGGATCCAACCATACCCTCTGCTCCTGAAGCAGGGAGGGCATACTGACTTGTTCCCTGTGGAAGCCCTGAGGCTCCTGTCCTAGTGGATCACGCGTCCCTTGCACCCTTGTGAATGCGCACCCGGCTCTTTTGCAAGATGAGCAGTCCTCCAGGATACCAGCAGACCACCAGGTGGTTACAAGTTCCTGTCACCTGGGACAACCCATGAAAGAGAACAAAGATCCCTTATTTTGGATAGAATCCCCTCCCCAATCTCCCAACAATCAGCACCAAAAGCCCAAGAAGCTGTTAGCTACAAACTCCTGCCTTGGGTGTGGTCGGGGCCTCTCTGGGGTCCTGCATGTGCAGCTGGGCTTAAGGTTTAGCTTACAGTGGAAAAAGCTGATGGAGGAATAAGCCACTACTTTTTTCCTCATATTAATAGTAAAAAACACACCTCTAAGTGGAGATTTTCTACACTAATGACACATGTGGTGCGTGTTGGAGCTGGCAGACACTGAGCACGTGCGCCAACCACAGGTTCACCTTTGCCTCCCGGACCTCACCAGTATTTTATGAAGATGGATGTGCAGTTCCCATGAAAGGAATTCCCCTCGAGGCACCAGGGGCCGCCTCTGCCTCTGAGCAGCCCGTTCTGCCTCAGAGCGGGCTTTCACTTCACAATACATTTCTGTGCCTCCTCTTGGACTCGCTCTCAAATTCTTTTGTGCAGCAAAGTCAAAAAATCAGAACTAGCCCACCCACCTACCTCACTCTCGGGCTGCCCTCTGCCTCTAGAACTTTCTCCTGAAAGCCATGAGGAGGGAATGAGTGTCCTCAGTCTGGGTCAGGGTTGAGCCGGTAACGTTCTATAACCTCAGGGGCTGTGCGTTTGCTCGAAAGTATTACATGCATTTTGGGCTGAGGCTTTACTAGATTGTTGTTTATCAGTCCTTGCAGTGGCAGCGTATCGAATCAATTGAAGGAAGAGTCAGGCTTTGTAAAATGTGATGGAAAAAATTCGATGTTGGGAAGGTCTTAGTTTACGACGCGAAGTCTTCTATCCTATTATTTCTCACGAGCTCGCGCTTGCTGCGCGTTTACAGAGGTAGTGAGCACTAATCGAGGATCCAGAGACAAGCGTGTTATCTCAGCTCAGCCAGTGAGCAGCCTGAGATCTTGGCAAAATTACTCAAAGGAGTGTGTGCTTCTTCCTCAGTTATATATGGTCACTGCTACCTTCCCTACGTGACACTTCTTTCTGTTTGTTCAACCAACACCGATGGTGTGCGCAGGCAGTAAGACATGGTCTTCATTCCCTAGCTCCATAAAACTTAAAATCTGGGGGAGAAAATAAAGACGCCAAGCCAGCCCTGCATAAATGAAAAGATAGATCATCTTCCTGATTGAAAATACTTAACGTCATAAAGGTATTTTAAATCACCCCTCTAGAAAATCTAGAATACAGAAATTCAGCTATGTTATTTGTAATGGAACTTAGTAAGCAAACTCTAATATTAGAGAGAAAGAATATGTACAACATTACTCCAGAAAATGTTGAAAAAGAACAGTAAAAGGGATTTGAAATACTAAATATGAAAACATCCTATTAAAATACAGTAATTAAAGTAGTAAAAAAAAAATAAAGAGAAAAATCAGTCAATGAAGAAAGGAAGGACTCTGCCAGCCTGGTGTTAGGATAATAACAACATACTTATCAAAGTTTTAAAATAAAAAACACATGCCAACATAATACACACATATAAATATATACATGGAACAAAAAGAGAAGATAAACATAGACTGTTGGGTTTTTGAAAGGGAATTCCCGATGTTTACAGAGATTACTCAAATATAAATTAATGCAGATGAGAGAGTGGCAATTTAATGTTCAAATTAGACTTAAAAATATATACTCCAATAGCAAGTATAAAAATTATTGCAAATGGCTGACTTCAACAACCCCTTCCCAAGCATAAATTCCAGATGCTGTCAGCACTTTCATGAAACTGATTATATAAGCAAGATATTTAAGTTTTTTTCTTGAGCTTAAAAAATGGGATACATAGGCATGTGTGTGTGTCTGTGTGTATATTATATGTGTATATGGTATCTACAGTTATATATACATACATAGTTTTTATTAGAGATACTGCATAACTCTGATGCTAACACAGCAAAAGGTATGATATTTGCTGAAGAAAAGTAAACATCTCTCTATGAAATGAAGACAAATGCTTAATTAAATTATTAGAAATTCTATCTTGCAGT
The DNA here is from genome assembly GCF_000001405.40 of Homo sapiens. Lineage (NCBI taxonomy): Eukaryota > Metazoa > Chordata > Mammalia > Primates > Hominidae > Homo > Homo sapiens. The sequence goes on from NC_000010.11 coordinate 2,216,697, forward strand.
ATATTAAAATGATACCTGAATATGAAAAATGAAGATGGCTTCACACTGGAATCTTATAAATAATGTTAGCAGTAAGTTAAGTAGAAACATACATCATCATCTCAATAGATTTATAAAACATATGAAAAAGTAGACAATTTTAAATGTGTATCTGATATAATAATTACTAAACTGAAAGCATAGAAATTTTATACTATTTAATTTTATATTCATTGCTTTTTCCTGAAATTTTTAATAATCTTATTTTGTCTACATATATATGGTCAAAATTTTATTGAAGAAATCAAAGTATGATAAGAAGTCATCATGAAGTGGATTTGTTCATCAAAATTTCTTTAGGGCTTTTCTTTCTGAGGACATGGTGTCACCATGCATTAAAAGACTTTGTAATCCTCAAGTTTATTAACTTAAAATGTTATACGCACACACATACACATGTGTAAACACACACACATGAGACTTTCCCTTTCTCCCAGGAGCTGGTTGTTTACATGAAATATTAAACAAGTTCTTTCTGAGCTCACAGATAATAAGATAGTGAAATGTTTGCTTGGAACAAGGGTAACAGTCTCTAGAGAAGACACTTTACCTGCAGTTATATTCCGCACCCATTATAAATCAGAGCTGCTTTTCTAAAACCAGCTTCTGTGAAGTATTCTCTGTAAGTCACCACCAAGCATAATAAAAAGATGTTTCAATTAGGAGAAACAACATGACCTAATTGTTTAAAAGAACACTGACAAGAAAGACAATATCTTTTTCATTGGACAGTAAGTATAAAACAAAGGAATCCTATTTTAAACAAACCGTGCTTCTAAAGCATGGATAGTCTGTGATTGCTGGATTCCTAAGGAGCCTCCTGGCCGTATGTGTGCATATGTTCAACGTCTGTTTCCGTGCATTGCCGTTTTACAGATGTTTCGCCAGTTGTCTCATTACTGTAGGTGCACTTGGGAAACAGGATACAAGAAGGAATGTTTACCCATGGTGTTTTGTTCACCGCCCAAATGTCTCAGAAAGTGAGGACAGTGCTGACTGTCAGGCAGAGGAGAGAAGGCAGAGATGTCCATCAGTGCCTGAAGCAGCCCATTCACTGGTCCTGCCTCCCGAATGCCTCCAGCATCTTCTTCAAGCAGCTGCACGCTGTGCAGGAGCCCTAGTCCGGGATGCACTTGCCCCCGGGGTTGGGTGAACACCCTTGGTGCCCCTCCATTATGGACTCTCCTGTTACTGCTTCCCTGTCTGATGAAGTTGAGCAATTTCCTCCAGACCACTATCTGCTCACCCTGTTATTTCCATGCACATTGAAAAAAAAAAAAAAAAAAAAAAAACCTTAGGAAAATCATCAGTTTGTGACATTTGTCTATCATTTTTCTTGTTTCAGCATTGGAACAAGACATGCTGGCATTGACATTGTTGCCTTATAAATAGCACAGAATGATTTTATTTAAGCAAGCATACATTTTCCAATGGCTTCTAAAGGTTTGTCTAGCCTACAAATTAAGTCAGCTTACATTAATATTGATTACATATAAAACACTATTTATCATTACATCTACTCTCATTGAACGTATAATAGACAATTATGGCTTATAACATGTCTTCCGTGTTACATATAAAATTTTAACTTACAAATTTCCCTTTTATTCAAACTTATTTTTATTTATATAACTCAAATGTATAGGATACATTTATATTCAATGTACAAACATTAGCCACAATTAGCTTTCCTTAACTTCTTGTCTCTCTTATGTGATAATGCCAGTATATCTCTTATTGTATCAAAATATATTCAGTTTTTCAAAAAATGGGTATATATTGTAAAGAAGTTCTGCATAATTCTAAGAGTAATTCTAATAGAGTCCAGGCCAACCTCAGACTCATGAAATTATTTTACTGTAGAATTTGCAACAAATGAATAAGAAAAAGTTGAAATAAATGAAGTATGATAAGTCTTTTTGGTAAGGAATGCAATATTTCAGAAGAGTCTGTACATATTAATGTGATCAATACAGAAAGAGAAGAGATATTCTAAACTTGAGTCCAGGGCAATTCAATATTTAGAACAAATTTTGGATTTATTCCAACTGATAGAAGTTTATTGGTTCATCTAATATAGTTAAAAACAAAACAAAGAAGAACAACAACCTGTCCAGCTGTGAGGAGTTAATACTTAAGAGAATATCAACCTTGAGACCCGATGGATGAAAATGTTCCTAAAGAAAAGCAGACGTGAATGACAATGGTTCAGTTACTGTTAAGAGACTGACTTCACACTATGAGCCTCGAGCAGACTACATATATGTACATTTTATGATCAAGGAAGGTTATGTGAACGATAATGAAGTCGGGAGAAATTCACAGGAGGATATTATGTCCATATGTAGTTTGTGTGTAAGTAGAAGTTATGAAGTGTCCAAATCATGGTGATCAGCCCTTCCATCTTTAGAAAGTGGAGACACTTCTGGTTGGAACACAAAGCATCCTGGGAAATCACGAGCCCATGAAACACACAGGATCTCTGAAGCTTAACGGTGCATTTTAATGCTCAGAGTAATGATTTTCATTAGACTGCCTCTTAATTCCTTCCCACCTGGGAAAATGTTTCTCATCTCAAGAAATTGCAAACCTGTTAGAAAGTTCTGATTAAGTCACCTTATAGAAATAGAATTTTCATTCACTGGAACATTTCTAAATGTATCCTGATATAAGTTTTAGATAGCAGGAAGTTGTAAACATGAGCTTCGTAGGCAAGATAAATGGATCAAACCCTGGCCCTTTACATTGAATATTTAGATGACTGTGGACAATTAATTCAATGTTATGCTCAGTATGGTATAAGCAACACACATAGCAGTCCCGGTGAAGAATACAAATCCCATGTCTCAATTTTCTAGAATAAAATAAGATTAAAATGTGTTTTATATATCTGTGTGAAAGCTAAAAAATGTTGTACATAAATTACAGTAATTTTTCAGGTTACTTACTTTCAAAATCAAAAAATTATTTCAATAGATAGAAGATAATGAATATAATGTTTCTGTATAATTCAGTCATTTAATAGTTAAATTTTATGAATGCGTATTTGTTTTATTTTGGATCGTCTTAACTAGATTCTGTTAATTAATCTCTTAAGATATTTTTCACCTACTGAAATCATTAAACATTGTCTCCGTTCATGATCTCTTTGACACCTTAAAGAACATCTTCACTTTGACAATACGTATAAACTAGTTTCTGTCATTAATGCTGTATCTTTTTAAAATTAAATTGTATTGCGTATATTTAAGGTATATAAATGATGTTATAGGATACATATATATATATATATATATAGTAAAAAGGTTACTGTAGTGAAGGAAATTAACATGTATGATCTCACAGTTACCCATTTTTTTCTGTATTTTTTTTGGGGGGCAATACCAGCTAAACTCTACTTATTCAGCATGAATTCCATACAGTACAACTGTATGACCTGTGGTCCTCACACAACACATTAGCCCTCCAGGCCACCTGATGTCCTCTGTCCTGGTCTCCCCATGCCCTCCCCATGCAGGATTTTCAGTACACCTGCTTTGTTTATTATACTATTTATTTCCAATGCGCAATACCTGTGTTGTTTTAAATTTAAGATTACAAAGTTACAAAATTCTTGTCACAATTTCTAAAGAAAAGATGGATTTTTAGGATTTAACAAATTGACTTTATATATATGTATATGTGTGTGTGTGTATGTGTATGTGTGTATTTGTGTGTATGTATGGGTGTGTGTATGTGTGTGTAGTGTCCATAGGTGTATGTGTATGTGTGTGTTGTTGACAGGTTGACAGAATCTACAGCTTAATTTGTGAAGGACGGAAAAGAAGCTAGTTCTTTTAAAAAATCAATAAGAATTGATTGTCAAGTAAAATAACATATATCTAGGAAATACAGGGATTTTTAGAAATGTAATCTGATAAATTTCATTTTATGCTATGTTCAGAATTTAATATGCTGTGGAAAAAAACACCCAGGAGCAGATTATGCCCCACAAGCCTCTGGATGATTTAGACAGAGCCTTTTTAACTTCACATCCTCAAAAACTCTCTCCCAACCTAGGTTGCTGGGTAAACTTGCTTATATTCTTAAAATCATGGTCCCACAGGGAACTGTAGTCCCTGGTGATGAATCAGAGTCTCTCCTAGTTGTTTGACAGCCAGGGTAAAATTTAAGTTTCCAAATAGAAGCCTGTACAATAGAAGGAGCAGAAGATTTGGAGTCAGAATTTCAAATTCAAATCTTTGAATTTGCTGCAAATGGACTCTATGATCATTAGCAATTGGCTTTGACTTCCTGAAATTTGTCAACTCATCCATTAAAAACGTATGAAAATAATACTATCACTTAGAATTGTTTTGGAAATTTAATGAGCAATGGCACAAGAAAGTGCTTTGTATAATTTAAACTACTATTTATGGTTTTTCTTTTACAAGCTCCAGCTGGTGTAAGGCATACTCTTAATAATATCTTTACTGTTTTTATTCAGCCCTATCTTAAATAAAGCACCAGAGACAGAGGTGCCTCTGTATCCGTTTTTCTTCTTTCCTTATCAGGAAAGGGTATTTATACCTTCCCAGAGGGATATATAAATTTATGTATATCATCTTTAAATGATTTGGTATTTAGTAAATTGTAAGAAATGGTATACTCCATGCATTACTCACTGTTAAACTTATGTTGAAATCTACCCATGCTTATAATTTTAAATCTGGCTAGACAAAATGACTCTATTTAGTGAGCTTTTACTTTCACTTTGTGGTGCAATAGCAAGCCCTAAGTTTAAGGTCTAATTCTCTGGACTCTGTGGTGTTCTTTTATTCAGTAACAGTTTCTAAAATTTATAATTTTAATGAGCAAACAAACATAAACTTTACTGAGCATCAACAGTGTGCCGTGAGCATAGCATAGATCAGGACTGTAAAGGTTCATATGCCATGAACCTGTCTTCAAGGTGCTCACTAAGGGGGGAGAGAAGCGTGTGTGTGTGTGTATGTGTGTGTGTGTGTGTGTGTGTGTGTGTGTGTGTGTTACCACTAGAGGGTAGTTTCCAAACTCATAATTGTTAAAGTAATGCATGTTATCCCAACTTCCATTTCTAATCTCCTCTCAACCCACAGGTCAGGGATGACTATGTTGACATAATCTTTCACTTTCTCAACTATGATAATCACAAGAAGCTCTGGCATTGTCTTTTAAAGATGTGTCGATGAAGACATTGTCATCATTGTGAATTACTTCAAGCATCAAGGAAGTCCTTCCACGTATTCTTTCTGGCAGAGAGCAGGTTCTTACCTCTGGAACTAAAAGCAGGTGCAATGGATTGAATAATTCATAGATAGACAGTCTCACTCAGCCTCACATACACCGGCAGTTCTGCAGTGGGGGCGATTTTGCCCTCCAGGAGACATTTGGTGGCATATGATCAAAATTTTATTGTCACACTGCGGAGTGTCCCTGGCATCTAGGAGGTAGCATCTGAGGATGCTACTGACCAGCCTGCAGTGCACAGGATGGTCCCTGCAACAGCTGATGCAGCCCAGGATGTCCGAGTGTTGAGGCTGAGAGCCCACGGTTAACCATCAGTCAGAGGCTGGAGGTATCTCGGCAGAACATTCACACCAGACGTCTCCTTCACAGCCATGCCCAAGCACGTCTACTGCTATGACAGCAAAGTGACAGTGAAACCCGCCTCTGCCTTCCCATCCTTTTCAGGTATCAAGTCAGCAAAGTGAGCTTAGAAATTAAGAACTGCAAATATTCTTACAGTTTATTAAGCTTTTATCCTTTTACTTGCGTATGAGGAGAACTCAAATATTCAAAGTTAATCAGCAACTTAGCAGTGAAGTCAGAACAGAAATTCCTGTGTCTAGAACCCAAATTCCTTGAGTATGAAATTTACAATGAACTGGCAGAGAGGGAAGCCTGGCAAACCAGCCGTCTGGAGGGACCTGTTTGCCTGGGTGACATTTGCAGGCCACACTGTCCTGGTTTCTGGATTCAGAAGGTTTGGTGTCTGTCTACAGGGACACACAGCACTCTGGTGCTGGCGTGGAGCCTGAACGCGAGCGGATTCAAGACACCAAGAGTTAGAGGTAAGTGTGCATTCCTTTGTGTTTTATCACTTCTGTACAAAATACGGAGGAGGCCTGATGCAAGATGATGTTAATGTAGTTTCATCTTTTTTTTTTTACTCTAATTGTTTCATTTATTTATTTACTTATTCATTTTTCCACTCATCTATTTTTAGCTGCTTCAATAAAGATGTCCTTGTCTGAACATCCCAAACAATTCTTTCTTCAATCTGTATTGACCCAATTAGTTGCTTCTCAGCAATATTTGTCTAGTTATGTACTAGCTTAAGCCTCCCCCCAAGTAGCTGATTTAATCAGCGATATTCACAATTAGAATTGTTTCCTTCTAGAAGCTGAAAGTCTGTGGTTAATTTAACCTAGAGGGCGACTTATTTTGATGGCCTGAACCTTCTGCCTTGGTTCAAATGAGTATTCTGAGTCTTTGGACCATGGCTGCTACTTTCCCCCGACAATGTGAAGTGGAAAGAGATTTTCCTATTTTACATTAAATGAAGGATGTGCTGAATATAATTTCCTCACCTGTAAAGAAAAACTTTCTCAAACACAGTCTCTTCGTGATCCTAGAAATCACCAGCCCAGGTCAATGCATCTTAGGTGAGTATCTTTGAATCATTCTCAGTATCACGTGGGCTACTCTGCCATGCCACGTTCCTGATGTCTCAAAGCCTTTACATTAGAGAGTTTATTACCATTTTTTTAAAAAGCCAACCAATGCATTCTTGATCTATAATGTCTTTATTTAATAATATAATTTGATAATAGACTCCATCTCTTGGGATGGAAATTGAATTTCTCCAGAAGCAGAACATAGAGACCTTTATGTGGGAATGTTGCAGACCTGCAGATACTTCTCCCTCATGAAGCTGATCCCTATGAGTCTGCAGATATTTCTCGCTCGTGAATCTGATCCCTGCACTTCTTTGACAGCAACAAATCCTGTCTTAATTCAGGTGCTAGAGAGGCCAACAGAATTGCCTGACTTTAAACCACTGTTCCCACGTTCCCAGCTGCCTTTACTGGTCTCATCTTCCTATTGCCCACTACACATGGAATTATCCTGTTCTATGATTGCTTAATTGAATTCAGCTCATTTTAAAAATTACAATTATTTCGACAATGATACTTCAACTTATAATAATTGACTGTTGAGGTCAAGCGAATAATAATATCGGAAAGCCCCTGGGATTGAGGATTATAGCATAAATAATTCACATGAGACCTTTACGTGTCTGCAGATGTCATTATATCACTATGAATTTTCCTTTTTTTTTTTCCTGTCACTCAGACTGGAGTGCAGTGGTGTGATCATGGCTTACTACAGCCTCCACCTCTGAGCTCAGGTGATCCTCCCACATCATCCTCTTGAGTAACTGGGACTGTAGGAGTGCACCACAAGTCCCGGCTAATTTTTGTATTTTTTTGTAGAGGTGGGTTTTGCCATGTTGCCCAGGCTGGTCTCAAATTCCTGAGCTCAAGCAATCAGCTTACTATGAATCTTCATAGATGGTAGGATCCTGAAAAAGTAATCATTATAAATGTGGATCTTTATGATTGATCAGGTTCTGAATCTGCCCAGACCCTCTAAGGGAATGTTTTCAATTGTGTTTTTTTCACAACTAAACTGAAGTATTTGATTTGAACTAGTTCTTAAATACCACTTTAGAAGAATCGAATTCACACTTTAAACAACATGAGGCAGGACGGAGAGTGTAAATTACATTTAAAGTAGCTAAATGTGAAACACTCACAGTTTTGTTTTTTTTTTTTGTTTGTTTGTTTTTTTTTTGGTCATAGGTGTTAGGAACTTGTTACCAAAATATATAAAAATTTATTTTTTAAAAAAGCTTTTCATTGTGGATGTCTAAAATCCATCAAATTTCCCCACTGAGTTTGTTTTATTTACTTCTATTACCACATTGTTCTTAAGAAATGATTGAAATGGGAAAATAATAGACAAACTTAAAATATCGGAAATACAAAGTCTCATAATTTGGACGATAGGAGTCCGTGACCGCTCAAAATGCAGAGATGACCTCTTGTCTCTTTGTCTTCTGCCGCCCTCTTCCTCCATGTCCACGTCTGTCTTCTGCTTCTGTCTGCCCTCCCACCCAGCCTTGCCTTTGCCTGCCCCTACTCCAGGGCTCCCTTTGATTTAAGGCTCTTATTCCAGGCGACCCGTCAGTGTCTCTCCCAGTGCTGACCTGCTTTGCGGCTCGTCACATGCAACACGAGGTGGCCAATACAGGGATGTGGCAGCAAATGAGCAGCGATTTGCAGAGGGCAACACTTAGGGTGGTTTTAGCCGATTGTAACGTGGAGAGCTATTTAATAATTACTATTAGATTATAGCCATTTCCCTGTAGCAAAAATCAAAAATGTCGAGGACATGCACTTCTGGACAAGTAGAGTCACAGGCCCTGGGTTTACTCTCTTGCCTGAAACAATGAATATGTAAAACCAGAAAAAGTCTCTAAAACCATGTTTTTCAAGACGCCGGATATTCAGCAACGAAGCACAGCGATGCTGAAGGGACAGGAAAGGAAGAACGGCGCTGATTTCCTTCCCTGGCGACCTCAGGGGGTCTTCTGGCCATGGCACAGGGAGTGGGAACCCAGGAAGGTGCTGCAGTCCCGGCAAGGCAGGGAGGAGTCGGCTCAGGAGAAGTCAGGGCAGTGCAGGTTCCAGGTCACGGTGCTGGAGGGACGAGGGACGCACAGAAGGGTTACAGGACTTTTCCTAAGTTCAGTTAAAGACAGGGTCCTTCTCACACGGCCCCCAAAATTTAGGCTTGCAGACGATTTGAAAAGTCAGAATAATGAGATTTATTGGGCAAAAAGGAAAAAGAGGGGAACAGGGACTCCACACGAGGCAGAGCTCGTGATCCTGCAGACTTCCTGCCTCACAGATTGAATCCCAGTTTCCACACAGGAACAGGGGGGCGGGCTCCAGGAAGAGGAAGGACCACGCTCCTCCTCACTGCATAGGATGCGAACTTCCCGAGGCTCCGCCCTAGTTGCCAGTCGGTTGGAGTTTTGCCCAGGAGCCCTTCCAACCTGGCTGTCTCAGAAAGACAGCTCAGGACAGCTGCAGGAACCCCCCTCCAGGGTTTCAGGGTACAGCAGGGTCCTGTCACTGCTTCTGAGGATACTTGCCAGGACATGGGAGGATAACCCGAGAGAATGGGCCAGAACTCACTCAGGACTGAAAACCGGGGCTGTGCCATCCTGACAGACAAGAACATCCTGTAATTCATGGGGCCCTGGGCAAAGTCGTGAGCAGCCTTGCTTCTGTTTTGCTGCATGATCAGCCTAGACTAATATCACATGCTCTGGTTGTGCCTAAAATTCTTTAAAGCAAGATTCAAAGGAATCACACTCTTGCCAAGTAGCTTAACTGTGTCCTAGCAAAAAGCACAATCACATTTCCAATAAAACAGTAACCTCCAGCCCCCAACAAGAGAAAAATTCACAATGCCTGGCAGCTGATTACAGACAACCAGACACAGCAGAAAAGCAGACAAACAGGCTCACATTTAGAAAAATTATCAATTAATCAACATTGAACTAGATCAGACACGTAAGTTAAAATTAGCAGTCACTGATGCAATTATTATGATTGAATTTAATATATTGAAAAGTTGAATAAAGACCTGGAAGACAGGAATAAAATAACTCAAATCGAAGAAAAATTAAGTCAAAGGGATAAAATATTTCATTTTAAAACCTAAATTTATAAAATTTATAGAAAACATAGAAAAATACCTTTTTAATCATGGGTTAATTAAAGATTTCTTAATATAACACGAAAGGCATGATTCATTAAATTAAAAAATCATAAATTAGACTTCATCTATATTGAGAACTGTTATTTGAAAGATGTTGTAAGAAGAACAACAAAAATACCACCTGAAATTATCTTTGCAAGATGTGTATCTGATAAAGGACTTGTATCCAAGATATATAAAGATCTATAAAAACTCTCCAAGTTCAAAAACAAGGAAACAAAACAGTTAATACAACTAATAAGTTTGAAAAAGTTTTAAAGATAAACTTAATCAGATATGAGATGACAAATATGCATGAATATTTAAAATAAGCTCAAATTCATTAGCTATTCGGGAAAACCCAAGTGAAAGCCAGCATAGTATCTTCTAAGATAGCTACCTTTACGCCGGGAGCGGTGGCTCAGGCCTGTAATCCCAGCTCTTTGAGAGGGTGAGGCGGGTGGATCACAAGGTCAGGAGTTCAAGACAAGCCTGACCAAAATGGAGAAACCCCGTCTCTACTAAAAATACAAAATTAGCCAGGCATGGTGGTGCATGCCTGTAACCCCAGCTACTCGGGAGGCTGAGACAGGAGAATTGTTTGAACCCAGAAGGCGGAGGTTGTGGTGAGCTGAGATCGAGCCATTCACTCCAGCCTGGGCAACAAGAGCGAAACTCCTCTTGTTGAGCCAAAAAAGATGGCTACCTTTTACAAGGGCTGACAGCACAAATGGCTGCGTGAAGGTGGAGCAAGTGGCTCTCTTACACATTACTGCTGGGAATGCATTATTGCACAACTGCTTTGCAAAGCAATTTGGCAATTTCTTTAAAATTAAAATATATACTTACTATATGTCCTTACAAAGGACATGGATGTCTATAAGAGCTTTATTTGCAACAGTAGAAAACTGAAAATAACAAAAACTGCCATGAAGAGGTGAAGGGAATAAACAACATTTGGTATATCCTTATAAGGGAATATTATTTAGCAATTAAAAGGAATAAGGATGCCTGCAGAAACATGGATTACTCTTAAAAGAAGTATGTGGAGTAAAAAAGTTAGAAAAAAGCAGTGTGTACTTTATGCTCTCATTTATAAAGATTTCTTGAAAGTGTAAACTGAGCTGCCGGGACGGGCAGTAGATCAGCGTGTGCTGAGGGTGGCTCACTGGCAGTGGTAGGAGGAAGGGGCCTCACAGCCACACAAGGGAACATGCGGATGTTTTTCTCCCTTTCCTGGTTGAGGCGACTGTGCCAGGAATGAATACACAAATCACAGCTCACCAAATTGCGCCCCTTAAATAAATGCACCTTATTATATGCAAATGTACCTCAATACAAATGAATTATGTAAATTTGTGGATTACAGGCATAGATTTTTATTTCCTGAAATGCTGTCAATGAGGATCGTTGGGCTTTGATTTTCTTATCTGCTAATGACAGTATTAGAGATAGGTGTTTAAAAAGCCCTCCAAAAACATGCTGATTTTGAGGCATTTTGTCCTTTTTTTTCCCTAGAACCATTTTGATGGCCTTTGATTCACAATAAGGGGTTGTTATCTTTAAATTGTGAAATAGAGACTTAGTTCATACTGTAATCATTCCCTAGCCCCTACAATTCCCCAAATCCGTTGAACTCTTTTTCCCCCAAAGAAGCTTCACCAAATTTAGCACATATATATCCAAAGGAGGCTGATAAAATGGAAAATCACATTCTTATGTTACCCATTTGAAAAACCATCTTTAAATAATAATGCTCAATCTGCCACTTGACAAATCAGTGCAAGGGAGGGCTGATAATATTTCTAGATGACAGTTCAGTTTTTTTTTTAGAAAAAAATCTCTAAATTGCCCTTTAATCAGAATAATACTCAGGGAGACTGAGTATCCAGGCAACCGTGCTGAGACTGCTGAAACTGATAAGAAGGCTTCCTCGGAACCTGGTGAGAAAAATCCATCAATTCTCCCTTTTGTAATAAAAGTGTGTTACATTTGATAGCATGTATTTTGGGGGGTGGATATAAATGATGGAAATTGTCTTTTAAACATCATATAACCATTCAGTGTGCTGAGACGTGGCACAGACATCTCCATGTGCAAATGTACTTTGCAGCTCATATGACCCCCTTTATAACACGAATCACTGTCAAGGGAATGCCTGACTGTACAAAAACTGCCCACAATTGAGCATCTATCACTGAAGATCTCTCAGTAGGGCTCCTCTCTAGGTTATGCCAGATCACTGGTGGTAATGTAGAGGACCACAGAGGTGTGGGCAGAGCTTATGTCCCAAAATACAGGAAACGATGGGGCTGGGGAGCTGGTGGTGAAGGACATATCGTCTGTCTGTTGTGAATGGATGAACTTCAGCCCTATCCCTTAATAGCAAAATTTCCTAACAAAAGCAAAATTATCTGTGTTGCACAAAAAAAAAAAAAAAAAAATCTAGGACAAAGGGAATTATTGATAGATGATGAGGCAAGGTGCCTCAAAGCTGTTCTATGGTATTAGCCAACTCTTCCCTCTGGCAAAGCTAAACAGAAGAGGAATTTCATTATCAGGGTGGGGGCATCAGAGGTCCCCCGGCAGAGATTCCCGCAGAGACTGCCATGTATGGACACCTGGGCAAGATTCACACAGTTACAAGTCTCAGCTTCTTTTTTTTTTTTTTTTTTTTTTTTTTTTGAGACAGAGTCTCACTCTGTCGCCTAGGCTGGAGTGCAGTGGCGCAATCTCGGCTCACTGCAAGCTCCGCCTCCCAGGTTCACGCCATTCTCCTGCCTCAGCCTCCCGAGTAGCTGGGACTACAGGCGCCCGCCACCACGCCCGGCTAATTTTTTTTGTATTTTTAGTAGAGACGGGGTTTCACCATGTTAGCCAGGATGGTCTCGATCTCCTGACCTCGTGATCCGCCCGCCTCGGCCTCCCAAAGTGCTGGGATTACAGGCGTGAGCCACCGCGCCCGGCCTTCTTTTTTTTTTTTAGGATAAATATATATCGTCTTAAGAGTCAGTGTGAAGACTCAATGGGACAAACCCATAGTACCTCCTTCATCTGCATTTTATTAGAAATTTTACTTATTTATTCACTTTTATTTAATTAGTTTATTTATTTTGAGACAGAGTCTCACTCTATTGCCCAGGCTGGAGTGCAGTGGCAGGATCTCAGCTCACTGCAGTCCCAACCTCCCAGGCTCAAGCCATCCTCCTACCTCAGCTTCCCAAGTAGCTGGGACCATAGGCATGTGCCACCATACCTGGCTAATTCAGGGCTTCATCATGTTTCCAAGGCTGGTCTCAAACTCCTGGGCTCAAGAGACTCACCTGCCTTGGCCACCCATCTTCTGCATTTTAATTGTTCAAGAAAGATGTTTTCTATCACCCCTTCTAATTATGCATTGCAACTGACAAAACGTTTTGACTTGGACAAAATGTTAATTTAGTTTTGAAAAAAAGTATTTATCTCCTATAGAGGAACAAACCCTGCACTTCCGCAAGGAAGAAACCAGCATTTCCTCCTAGCATAGGAGGAAAAATAAAAACTGAAGTCTAAATGTGTAAACTTCAGTAAGGATATTAAAATGCCTCAGTGTCAGCTTCTAGCAGATGGGGATGTTCAATCAGATTGACAAATGCCATAGATAGTTGTGAGTATAACGGGCATCAAAAATATTTCAAAGAATTAAATGATATCTTCTAGTATAACATAATCAAAGTATCATGATTATCAATAGTAATTTCTTCTGCCTTTTTGTTTTTCTTGGATAAATGTTGATATTCAAATGAGAAAACAATTATCGTTTGTCTTACTATTGTAATTGTATCTTAATTTTTTTCAGAACTTTTAATTTTCATAACTTTTATTGAATTTTGAATTTACTTAACTAAATTGGACAAAATTATAAAAATTAAAGTGCTTTACCTTTGAACTTCCTCTTGGACTGTTCTCTGCTTTACAATACTTACCCCCATTTAGGTATTCATTTATTAAATAATTAAGTTCTACTCTGCACTATGCTAGTTGCAAGAAACTCAGATTTGGTTCAGGCGTTACATCATTTACAGTCTAATGGAAAACACAGCTATTGTGCAATAATAATAAGCATAAAAGCAAATAATTGAGTGATAATTAGGATTAATGCAGTGTTATCAGAACACATAATAAGCAGATTTAATCTAGTCTGAGGCTGCTGAAGGACAATTAGGAAAATAGCTTTGGCAAAAATGACAGTAAGGACTTTGGTCTCACCTCTAGGGGTATTAGGAAACTATTGAAGGGCTTTAGGCAGATTCTCTTTGGGCAGATTACTCTTATTCATGCAATATTATATTTTCTTCATGAATAAGTGTACTTTGACTGTTTTGTGTGACAGAAAGGTGCATATGTGATTTCAGGTGAATTTAAAAATTGATGTGCTTGAGTGTCAGCTTAGAATGAGTTAAAACAGAGAATGAAGTAAATAGATGTAAAGGAATATAATGTAAATGCAACTTGCTGATATACTGAATACAGAAGTTGAAATTTTCAACTGGAAGATGACAACCTAAGCCATAAATATATATGACACAGTTTGATTCTGTGTCCCCACCGAAATCCCATGTTGAATATGCTATATATATGCTATATATACTTGTAGTATACCTATATATGCTATAATATGCTATATATACTTGTAGTATACTTATATACTATGTTAATATATTAATATATAAGTACTAATATGCTTATATAAGTACTATATTAATACATAAGCTTATTAGTACTTATATATTGATATAGTACTTATTACTATATATGTATATCTGTATATTGTAATCAAAGGAGCTTAAATTTGAAGACTGCAGTTAATTTATTTTCCCTGCTGCATTATATTTCATTACATACACATACCAGAAAATGTCATCCATTCTTGAGTTGATAAAAATTGGGTAATTAAAAACACACAACACAGTAGAAGCCTCGAACAGCAGTTTGTTTTGTTTGTATGTTTTTTTCCTTCAGAAGAGTGTAAGAATAATGATTTACTACTAGGTGGGTTCCATCCTGGACAATTTCCACTGCACTCTCAGTCCCGATGCATATGAGGTGTGACTGTGTAAACGAGGCCAACAGTCAGGTTTCAGGAGGGCCCAGGATGGTTGGAAAGAGTGGTCATGCAGGTAGGATGGGGGGACTGTGGGACTGAATGGGGTGGTTGGAAAGAGTGGTCATGCAGGTAGGATGGGGGGACTGTGGGACTGAATGGGGTGGTTGGGAAGAGTGGTCATGCAGGTAGGATGGGGGAACTGTGGGACTGAATGGGGTGGTTGGAAAGAGTGGTCATGCAGGTAGGATGGGGGGACCGTGGGACTGAATGGGGTGGTTGGAAAGAGTGGTCATGCAGGTAGGATGGGGGGACCGTGGGACTGAATGGGGTGGTTGGAAAGAGTGGTCATGCAGGTAGGATGGGGGGACCGTGAGATTGAATGGGGTGGTTGGAAAGAGTGGTCATGCAGGTAGGATGGGGGGACCGTGGGACTGAATGGGGTGGTTGGAAAGAGTGGTCGTGCGGGTAGGATGGGGGGACCGTGAGATTGAATGGGGTGGTTGGAAAGAGTGGTCATGCAGGTAGGATGGGGGGACTGTGGGACTGAATGGGGTGGTTGGAAAGAGTGGTCATGCAGGTAGGATGGGGGGACCGTGGGACTGAATGGGGTGGTTGGAAAGAGTGGTCATGCAGGTAGGATGGGGGGACCGTGAGATTGAATGGGGTGGTTGGAAAGAGTGGTCATGCAGGTAGGATGGGGGGACCGTGGGACTGAATGGGGTGGTTGGAAAGAGTGGTCGTGCGGGTAGGATGGGGGGACCGTGAGATTGAATGGGGTGGTTGGAAAGAGTGGTCGTGCGGGTAGGATGGGGGGACCGTGAGATTGAATGGGGTGGTTGGAAAGAGTGGTCGTGCGGGTAGGATGAGGGGACCGTGGGATTGCATGGGGTGGTTGGAAAGACTGGTCGTGCAGGTAGGATGGGGGGACCGTGAGATTGAATGGCGTGGTTGGAAAGAGTGGTCATGCTTGAAGATTAGAGTGGTTACTGTATGTACCATGGACAGCACCCACTTCGAAAAGATCAGCCTGTAATTTAGGAAGATTTACCGTGCTGAGATCAAATTTGTTTTGGCATAATACATTTATGTTGCAGCCACACCGGCTTTTGCGTGTTAATCTCTGAGGTTCAGGGAAAGATTAAACCTTCCCATAGGATGTAACAGCTGCAAGTGTCTTTTTTTTTTTTTTTTTTTTTTTTTTTTTTTTTAAGACAGAGTCTCGCTTTGTCGCCCAGCCTGGAGTGCAGTGGGACAATCTCGGCTCACTGTAAGCTTCGCCTTCCGGGTTCACGCCATTCTCCTGCCTCAGCCTCCCGAGTAGCTGGGACTACAGGTGCCAGCCACCACGCCCGGCTAATTTGTTGTATTTTTAGTAGAGACAGTTTCACCGTGTTAGCCAGGATGGTCTTGATCTCCTGACCTCGTGATCTGTCCATCTCGGCCTCCTAAAGTGCTGGGATTACAGACGTGAACCACCACACCCAGCAGCAAGTGTCTTTATAACAGTATACAAACACACATATATTGTCTTACATCTTCGTTTACAACCACGGATCTCTGTTAGCTAATTTTTATTTATTTTTCTGTCCAAGTAGCACGAGTGTGTTATTTAGAAATATGGGCACAAAAAACGATAGAAACTACCCAGAAGTTAAAGTACTTTCCTTAATTTCTAATGTGAGGGGGCAGGAGAAAGGGGTGTGTGGATGAGTGGAAAAGACCATGACTCTGTAATCATGTGACTTCAGCTATACTTTAAAATCTGTCTCTGCATACAGTGTAGATAAAAATCAATAAACAAAATGTAGTAAAGTAACAGCAAGCAAGAGAGAAACAGAGAATTATGCTCTGTTTATAAAGTGTATGAAATGAGTAATTTTGGGCACATGGAAGACAGGTCATATGTGGGCTCAGAAACAGCTGCTGGTGACATAAATATAAACCTGTCAGTTGGTTCCTGACCTTAAGGAAATTAACATTTAAGAAAACTGAAGAAAACATTTCTGCTTTCATCTATATTATCATAGCTTGTATTATTCACTCATTAAAGTCAACGAAAAATAGCTGAATAAACTGCACAAGAGCTCAAACTGCTTGAAGTCATTGGAAAGCAATCAATACACATAGGAATTGAGGAGAAACAACCCTGAAGAAAAGGAAATTACAAAGAACTGAGCCTGAAATTCTGCCTGGAATTTCCTCTCTGAGCACTTGTTAAATTCTAAACTGATAAGGGGTGAGAAGCCTAGAAATCAAAAGAAAATAGCTTCTAAGAGGCTCAACCCCAAGCAGAGCTGAACAGACAAACACTCTGGTACGTATCACAGGTTTCCAAGAGAAAAATCTTAAAGAGCCCCACTTCAAGAGTAGACAGTGACATTAAAAATGAAGCAGCTATCACAAAGTCACTTCAGTCTCTGCTTGCATCAAAGCGAGCTTTTGTCATTGTAACTATGGGCCAGAATAAAATAAAGTCTGATGTGGAAAAAGAAAACAAGACAGATCATTTACTATTTTTAATGCCTAATGTGCCATCTTCAATAAAAACCACTTAATGTCTAAGAAGCAGACCGGTAGGTAAACCAGATACTATCAGTCTCAAATTCTAAACTAGGATCAATATGTTTAATAAATTAGAAAATAAGATAAAAATTTCACCAGAGGAATAGAACCTATAAGATAGAAAGTATAGTACATAATTAACTATTATTAAATGTATTAATCCAGTAGAAGTGCTTGCTAAGACATTAGAAATAGTAGAAGAGAGTACTAATAAACCGGAATATAGATCAGGAGAAAGTATTTAGAACAAATCATAAAATGAAGAAGTAATGAAGAAAACAGATAAAAGTTTAAAAGATATATCTAGCCCTTGGTGAAAAGGTCTAAATACATGTAATTTTTTTTCTCAAAATGATAAGGAAGACAAGGGCAGAAAGAGGGGCTGGGGGAGATCTCTCTCTCTCTATATATATATAGATATCTATATAATCTCTATATAGCAAAATTTGAATATATATTTCTCTCTATGTATAGATCTATTTCTCTATATCTATATAGAGATATAGATAGATAATTGATAGATCTATTAGATTTTTTTGTGTGTTTAAATTTTTTACTCTCCACATATAAAACAATTCTTCAGCTAAAACAGGAATAATGAGACAAGAGGATTGTGAAAAGTACAATAGAAAAATATTGTTCACTGGTTTATTCTTCCAAATGAGCAACAGGTTATTTACCAATAAGTAGATCTCCAACGATGTGTATTAAAATGGCAAGTCTATCACTGCTTGAAATCTAAATGAAAAAAATGTTTTAAGGCACATTTGATCTGAGGATTTAAAACAAACTAACTTCCTGGTATAATGACAGATTTATTTTACTTTTGTCCCCAAAACACATGAACACTAAAATTGTCAAGGAACACTTAATATTTAGTAAAACAGTAAGGAATATAAAAATTAGGGAGGGGAAAAATCATTTTCAGAAGGAAATCTTTGGAGGTCGGCTTACTGCAATTAAAACATACTAAACACACTCCTGATACACAAATAATAATAACTAATAGGTACTCAAGTAATGGCAAAGCTCTGAACAATGGATATTAAATATATCAAAGATACAAAGGATAAAACAAAATAGTCATAAAAGAATAAAAACCATCTCCACCCACATAACACAGACAAGAAGAAGGGAACAAAACCAAATCTATCTATCTATCTATCTATCTATCTATCTATCTATCTATATTAGGTTGGTGCAAAAGTAATTGTGGTTTCTGCCATTTGAAAGCAATTGCAAAACCTGCAATTACTTTTACACAAACCACATACATATGTATATATATGTATATAGTAATCAAAGGAGCTTAAATTTGAAGCTGCAGTTAATTTATTTTCCCTGCTGCATTATATTTCATTACATACACATACCAGAAAATGTCATCCATTCTGG
Organism: Homo sapiens; assembly: GCF_000001405.40. Taxonomy (NCBI): domain Eukaryota; kingdom Metazoa; phylum Chordata; class Mammalia; order Primates; family Hominidae; genus Homo; species Homo sapiens. The sequence goes on from NC_000010.11 coordinate 2,235,634, forward strand.
AGTTGATAAAAATTGGGTAATTAAAAACACCCAACACAGTAGAAGCCTCAAATAGCAGTTTGGTCTCCACCCCTGACTTCCCTCGGCTATAGAAGGCCCAACCCCAGTTTCAGCCCTACTCCACTCCAGCACTATAGTTGTGGCAGAAGTTTTCCTACTCATCCTCTTCCACTCCTTGATAGAAAATAATCTGCCAATTCAAAGCCTCACGCTATCTTAGGTGCTATATATATATATGTCTCTGTCTCTCTCTCTATATATATATACATATATATCTATATCTATATCTATATAGGTATGGGCAATGTTTGTGCTGCCTTTCTTCAAATATTGCTTTTGTCCTATTTATTATCTCTCTCTCTCTCTCTCTCTCTCTCTATATATATATATATATACACACACACACAAATATATATATACATATATATACATATATATCTATATATATCTCTATATCTCTATATCTCTATATCTCTATATCTCTATATATATCTCTATCTCTATACTCTCTCTCTCTCTATATATATATACATATACTCTCTCTATATATATATTCTCTCTCTCTCTCTCTCTCTATATATATATATATATAGAGAGAGAGAGAGAGAGAGAGATAATAAATAGGACAAAAGCAATATTTGAAGAAAGGCAGCACAAACAGTGCCCATACATGACTAAAAAAAATCAAATTAAAGATTCAAGAAGCCATTTCACCCCAAGTTGGATAAATATTACAAAAAACACTCCTTGAGACATAATACAACAAAGTTAAAGAAGAAACAACAGCTTAAAATCATCTGGAGATATAATTACTAAATCATTCTGAAATATTAGCAGAGATTATTTTTTAAGCAAAGAGCACAGAAATGATGAGAATCTACAGAAAATGGAATAACATATTTACATTGATGATGATGGTGATGAAGGCCAAATAAAGACATCTGCAGTCAAATATAATACAATCTGGAAGGATTAATCACCTATAGACCTGAACTAGTAAACATATCAAAGTGAGTTCTTTGGCAGAAGTGGAAGGATTCCAGAGCCTTGGCTGTGCAAGAAGTAAGAAGTCGGGAAGGACCACATGTGGCTAATACTAAATATATATTAATTATTTAAAATGAAAATAACACTCATGCCAATGGCATTTTTTCTTTCCCTCTGTCACTGAGGAAGGGGAGGTGAGACCGGGTCTCATGGAAGCCATTGTCCTGTCAATGTCCTGTCTTCCTGACCATGGATGCACTCTCCTTCTGCTAGAATGTGCTTAGAACGGGTATCCTCAGGACTGTGACATAGCTGTTCTTTTTTGATAAATCAAACTTGCTGAAATACTTGAAAGAAATACAAAGACTTGAGGAGTCACAGTGAAAGTATAAAATGCCTAAGCTCCCTCTAGCTTGCGTTCCGGGCTCCACTCCCTGCCTTTCCTCCTCTGAGGGATGAAATTTTGCTCTTGAGCCAAACTTCTGCTCCAAGCTCATGTTGGTGAATTTCTTTATTTCTAGTCCCCGAGCTGCCTCAGCATGAAAAGGAGACAATACTCAAGAGCAATCCCTTTATCCCAAGTGTCTTGCTTTCCTGACATTGTCTCTCAGCAGATTGATAGGCATAGGACCGGAATAAAGGTCTCAAACTAGAATATGTGTGTAATTAATGGTCTCTCTGCTCAATGTTTTCTTTTGTGATTCCCATTAAATTTTGCCTTGAGATATCTTTGTATATGCCAAATAATTATGGCAACTTGACTGCTGGTTCTGGACATGATGGAGTAAACATATTTCACTCCATTCAGATGATTACAGTTTAAAAATCTCAGACATACAGAAAACTAGATCAGGAAACTCTTTTTTTTTTTTTTTTTTTTTTTTTTTGAGACGGAGCCTAGCTCTGTCACTCAGGCTGGAGTGCAGTGGCACGATCTCGACTCAGTGCAAGCTCCGCCTCCCGGGTTCACGCCATTCTCCTGCCTCAGCCTCCCCAGACAACTTAAAGAAAAGAAGTCAGATTGTCTAAAGAGTCATGGGAAAGGATACAGTCGTGACTTCCTTTTTTCTCCCCTCCAGAAATGCCCAGTCTGGAGAGGCCCTTAACCTGGAAATAATGATGGAGATTTTATAAAATGTCTAAGAAAAACCCATTCTGTCTAGCCACAGGCACCTGAAAGGGGTGGCCCAGCAGGATGGAATTCTGTGGCAATGCTCTCCCTGCCCCGCTGAACACCATGAAATGGCACTTGTGTCCTCTCACAGTGGGCATTCTGCCTGGCTGGGGTGTGGGGGGAGGGTAAGCAGATGGACCCACTGCATTCTTTCCAGGGCTGTGTAACCTCCAAGGCTGCTCCTGAGCGACTCACATGTGGACCTGACAAGAACCAGCACAGCAAAAGGCATGAGAACTGAACCAGAGTGCCCAGTGCTGCCCAGGTGTCAGAGCTGCCTGTGGGAAGTGCGCCAGCAGTACCGCCAGGTGACCCCACAGAGACTTTGAAAATTGACATTCGAACCGCAGTCAGCAAAGTGGCCAGGACACATGGGCTAGACCTATGTATTAGTCCCTCCTCTGCTGCTACGAAGAAAATACCCGAGACTGGGTAACCTTTAAAGAAAAGAGGTTTAATTGACTCACAGTTCCACATGACTGGGGAGGCTTCAGGATACTTACAATCATGGCAGAAGGCACCTCTTTACAGGGTGGCAAGAATGAGAATGAGTGCCAGCAGGTGAAATGCCAGACGCTTATAAAACCATCAGATCTCGTGAGAACTCACTCACTATCACAAGAACAGCATGGGGAAACTGCCCCCATGATTCAGTTACCTCCCACCAGGGCTCTCCCATGACATGTGAGGATTATGGGAACTACAGTTCAAGATGAGATTTGGGTGGGGACAGGGCCAAACAATATCAAGCTTTTAGCATGTTCACCTGCTAAAATAAGATTTAAGTAGGAAACAGTGTCTCAAAACACAACACCCACAATGTTCAGGATGCATTAGAAAACTACTCACCTACCAAGATCAGAATATCACAACCCTAATGAGTTAAGACAAACAACAGACACCAACAACAGGATAAACAGATGACTCTATGTGACAGGATTTGCTGTCCTCAGGCTGTGGCTGGATGACTAAAAACCTATGAATGAAATATGTTCCCTTTTACTATGGAGAGAGCATCTGCATTTATAAATAACCTTTTGGGCCTTTAATTGGACATCAGGCAAATAAACTGAGAGGCTCTTGGAGACTGAATCCTGGTTTAAAGCATCGGGCCCACAGAGATGCTTTATTCAACAAATATGCCTCATAGATGCCAGCTGGTGAGGTTAAATCAGAGTCTCTGCCTTCTAGAAACTTGTAATTAGTCAGAAGATATGAGGCACATTCATAGATGGCCACTGTTTAGGCACACTCTGGATCATGTATGCCCAATTACATGCTCTTATGCATGAGTGAGTGGCCAGGGGAATCCATCCTCACGTCTTTCTGCAGAGTGCATTGGACCCAGGTATACACATGATGGATTTTTATACTTGTAATTTCAAATGTACACAAACATCTCTCCTCTCTCATAACTCCGTAACTGTCAGAGGAAGGAAAGTTAGTGAGGAACATCTGCATCCAGTTATGACAGTACACCACCCAAAAATCAGGGCATGGTTAGACATTATTGTTTAGGAAAAACAATGGTTTTTCTATATAAATAGGTGCATGATCACTAAAACCAATCTGGAATATGCAGAGTTTCTTTTAAAGAAGAAAATAAATACTTTCAAGCTAACACACTCACAGTCAACCTGTTGACATTTTATTCTTGGAGCCTATTTTTTTTTCTAAGTAATTTTTCTGTCCTATGTTGACATCACTTAATTAACCAGAACCCTGGGAGATATTATTTTGCATTTCACAGAAAATGTCAGAGTGCAGTGAAGCAGAGGTTACCGTATTAATTTTAATTAACAGTGAAAAGGACCCCACAGCACCTCTGCCTCTGGCCACACCCTCACCCATACACAAAGACAGAATAAAGGCTCAGATTCTAAGGTGGTCATAAGCTGGTTTCCCCACCTCCCCAGTTCATATGTTAAAATCCTAACCACGTAGATGAAATGTTGGTAGTAAGAGGTAGTGTGGGGCTTTGGGAGAAGATGAGGTCATCAGGGTAAAGTGGGATTAATGGGTCTCTAAAAAGTGGGTCTCTTACAAAGAGACCCCAGAGAGATCCCTCACCCCTTCCACCATGTAAGGACACAGGGAGAAGGTGGCCACTTGGCAGCTGGGAAGAAAGCCTTCATCAGAGCCTGACCATGCCTGCACCCTGATCACAGTCTCCCAGCCTCCAGAACTTGAGGAATAAAATCCTGTTGTGTACAAGCCACCCAGTCTATGGTCTTTTGTTAAAGCAGCCAAAGGAACTCAGATACTTCCATCACTGCAACCTTACAAAGATGATGCTCTTTCAAAGTTTGGGACCAATAATGTTCAAAGCATCTTGGGATTTTCCTAAAGTTCCTGGTTAAAGAGTGTTTCAAGCCTTGGTAAACAGAGCTGATAACCCAGTGTCCCATGTGGGCAGAAAATGAAAGAAATGCATTGTGCTTTGTCGCATTATTTTATTTTTTAATTTATTTTTTTGTAAATATAGGGCAAATTTATTAGAAAAAATATGAAAATCCATTGCAAAAACAAACAAACAAACAAAAACAAAACAAGCAGACCAGCAAAACGGAGGTGACTGCAAGAAAACAAAGACTTGCTGGGGATTTTATAGAATAGTGTTTATGTTGTGTGCTATAGAGGGCTTTGTGCAGTACTAACAACGCCAAGGTTGCAGTGAACTAACTTGCAGGTAGGTGTCTGGGAAGAATTGGGCACAGCAAAATTGTGAGTTATTTGTGCAGGAGGGCTCTGTATCCTGGACCATGAAGAAAGGCAGAGTTATAGCTTATCTGCCTTCTCGTTTTGCTTTCCTCTGTCCCACTAGCCTAACTCCCTTTCCCCCGTTAGGACTCCACACGCATGTTGAATTCTTTTCTAAAACCGTTATTGCTTTGCAGGCGTCTGACGTGTGGTCAGGAAGTGCGCTGGAGCAGTGCCGCTTCCAGAACAGGGTAGGCCCAGAGGGTCTTAATCAAGGATTCTCCAGTGTCCCAGGGGATGCGTGAAACTCTCCGCTGTCTTTCTGGTGTCCGCTTGTCCCTCAGAGCCCCTGATGCTCGAGGTTCCCAGGACACTCAGCTCCATGGGTCATTTGCTCCCCATCTGCCACTAGATCTTTCTCTTGCTCTCCCTGTTAGCTCTGTGGGAACACAGGTACAGCCAATTTTCAAAGTACTACATAGTAAGTAAGCATCATAGAATAAGTATGTTTCATGTTGTAACTCTTTTTTATTGACATCTTTCTTGGTGGTTACATTATATTCTGTCAGTGTAGCTGCAGGAGTCTTTACTTCATTAAAACCGTATTGTAGCCTATTTGTTTTAAAATTTTCACAAATATAAATGATGATGCTATTAGCATATTTGTGCTAAACACTTTTGTTTACATATTATTATTATTATTTTCCAAGACAAGCTTTCTATCAATAAAATTATTGGACCAAATGGATTTTAAATACTTAGGGCTTCTGATTTTTTTTTTTAACCACCATTTCCTTCTAAAAAAATTACCAATTAATCCTTCCGGCAAAATTGTGCTAATTTTATTCTATCATGAACAGGAGTATTAAAATTTAAACAAATTTCACAATTTAGCAGACAAGAAATGTTTTGATTTTAAATGTGTATTATGGTGTAAAGGCATAGATAACACAATAACTATGAAGTTGTGACATGATTTGCTTTATAACATTTTATAAAATTGAACTAGTTTTACTAAATCTGGAATTTATTTGAATTGTGCATATGAGCAAGTTAGAGGAACTAATGGAATAAAAATTGCTGAAAAAAATCAACAATTGTAATGAATATGTGCTCTGTTTGCTGGCTTGTTTTAATATCACAAGGAGCCAAAAGTTTACCTCTACTGTCTGTGATTCTTGATATTAATGGATCAGCTAGGCTACTGGAAGGAGAATAACTATACTCACATTTAATTTTACATTTCATGTCTACAAAATCAGATTTATTAGTCAATTCTCTCTTGAATCTCTACATTGCTTCAAAGGAGTCAAGCTCAGCAGATAAGGGTAGAGAGAGATTTGCCTCAGAGACAGTATGCAAAAAATGTAATAGAGAAAATTAAATATATAATGTATTATATTATATATAATACATAAATAAAATAAAATTATATATAATTTATATATAATTAAATTGTATATAATTTATATATAATAATTATATATAATTAAAACATAATTATAAATTAAATTATATATAAAAATATATATATATGAAGAGAGCATAAAGTGCCATCAGGGGAAAATAAAATTACAAGTAAGATAAAGGAAATGAGTGCTAGGGAAAGAAATATTTTAGTCTGTTGGTCACAGCAAAAGGGCATCTGAGACCTTGGTGATCTCTTTTGTATCAATCTTTTTTTTTTTTTTTTAAAAAGGTCCACAACTAACATATGATGGCTGTTTCTGAGGAACAACTCAAACTCTAGATGTGGGGGTGACACTATCGTTATCTGAATTGAAAAGAGAAACTTAAAGCCCTTTCCTACAGGTTCTGGCCAAGGCTTTAGATTCTCCTCTATTTGTTTCTTTAGACACCATTTTCAGACTTTTGTTGAGACCGCAAATCTAATATGAATGGAGTTGTGGCAGTGTAACATTCATTGCCGAAGCCCTGACCCCCACCATCACAGTACGTAGAGACACTGCCTCTAAGGAGGTGGCTAGGGCTCAGTGGGGCCATAAGGGTGGCATAAGATAGAGTTAGTGTCCTTACAACAGGAGGAAGAGGCCAGAGCTCAATCTCCCTGCACACGCAGAGGAAAGGCCTTGTGAGGACACTGTGAGAAGGCTGCAGTCCGCAATCCAGGAAGGGAGCCCCTCGCTGGAAACTGAATCAGTAGGCACCCAGATCTGGGACTCCCAGCCTTCAGGGTTTTGAGAAATAAAGTTCTGTTATTTAAGCCATCCAGCCTGTGGTGCTTTGCATGGCACCGTGAGCCACCCAAGACAACATCTTCAGCCTAATGCCCTTTCTTTTTCCAGGTGTGGTGTTTTCATGTGTGCTTTCATTCATTTCCTCTGGGACCCTCACGTACAGACACGCTGCTCGGATGTTGAAGAAGCACGCACTGGAAGCTCTAGTTGAACACGTTGCTCTGTTGCTCAGGCTGTGCCTCCTAACTGTGAATTGGGGAGTTTGTTGCTATGAGCTGGAATTGACACTGGTTATTTGTGGAACTGCCTAATTCCTCATCAGAAAAATGCACATCAAAACCTTTCCTGTGGATTTCCTTTTTCTGATGCATTTGAGCAGAATTATCCTTCACTTCCCTTTTTAATATTGAATTCTTCATTTTATTTCCCACTCTCTCATAGCAGCCTGAGCCTCTCTATATTATGGCATTAATATACTGCCTTTTAATTACTTCAGACAGAGAGCTGACATTCTGTAGTAAAGCAAGTAAATATATATGATTGAAAAGGTAGAAGGAGGCCAATAGTGCCAGCCGTTATATCGAAGTCACTGAATAATGTGGAGAGGTAGCTTTGAGCCTCCCAGACATCTTGAAGAGAAGACGCCTTTAATGGAAACAATGTAAATTTTACATCTGTTATCATAGTTCATGAAGGCCACTTATCATTTTGTTGGCCTGTTAAACGTATTAATTGCTTTATAAAAAATTCACTGGCGTATCTAAATCATTGGAAGTTCTTAATATTCATTCCATAATTCTCTGACAAAGGATTATTAACATCACTTACCAGACTTTGTTTTAGGTGCTGGGAATACAGCCATTACAAAGAAAAGAAAGAAAATGTGTCTGCTATCCCAGGAATTGTATTTTAGTTGGGTAGCCCGGAACGATCCCCAAATAGGCCAGTGCGTATGTGCACAGGGATTGTCACAGAGGTCCACGCTCAGAGCCATCGTGGGAAATCATCAGAGCCCAAGCCACCTTGGAGAGCGAGTGCGGGGCTTCCAGCATGGTGTGTCAATGCCAGGCCTTCTCCTCTGTATGGCAGAGTAAGCACAGCCCTAAAGGAGCATGTGAGCAAATGCCACAGGTGTTCCAGAGACAGGCGCTAAAATTAGTAGAAAAGGCAAGTGACAGTCCCTGAGGTGGACTAACTAAGGCAGAGAAAAGAGGCCACTGTTGGGTTAGAACGAATGAGTGAGGAAGCGAAGCAAACGGAATGGAGGTGAGCAGGTCGGGCCATGGAGACCCTGAGGAAGGAGGCTTGTTGTATTCTGGGCTGTGAAGCCATTGAGAAGCCTGGAGCAAGAAAGTGGCGTCAGCTCCTCTCCATAAAGTTTGCTCTAGATGCTGCATAGAGCATGGACCTGGGTGGGGTCAGGGGTCAGGTGGCTTTGCCAGGTGAGAGATGAGGGTGGCTCAGATTACAGTCTGGGGCTAGCAGTGATGGATTCACCTGTTTTAGAGTAGATAGCCACCATATGCCCTGATGTTTGGATTTGTAGGTATCAACAAACAAACACAAATAAGGTGTAGCTAGAATTCTTAAAAGTGTCTTGACTGAAAACTGAAACGAATGATTTAGCCATTGACCATGCGGGCAGCAGAACAGAAGCAGCATGTTTGGGTGAAGCAGTGGGAAGAAAGTGCGTGTTTATCAACAAGGCACCAGTATCCACACGAGCCCTACGAACCATGAGCCGATGGGCCTTTCAAATCACTGGAAACCTGGAATTGCGTCCAGGACACACACTCGGCCACATTCTGAATCTATGAGTCGAATCGCACCTGGGCCTGGCTCGCTCCTGTTTCTTCACGTCACGGAGTGCAGATTTTCTCTCCAGGATAGCGCTTCTATTATTGCTCTGTTTCCCACGTGCAAGTTTTCTTCTCATGCTCAGCCAGGCTTGTTGCTTGAACAAACAGCAAACTGTGATGTTCCGACACCATCTGGGCCAAGGAGGCAGCAGACCATGTTGCAATGTGACACTTGGCACAGGATGACGCCATCGCCACCAAAGCCCCTGTGCTCTGGTGGAAGCAAAGAGACTGAGGTCAACCACAGCCACTCCTGAACACCAAGCTCAGCACACAAGCAATGTCCCCCTGGAGCTGATCCTGCAGGCTTCCCACCCCACATTCCCACAGTGCCTGATCTGTTGCCAGAGAGACGTCAAAGCCACTGAGTCCACGCTTCTTGTAAAACATGAACATTACAGGCCAGATTACGCCAGTGCCCTCCAAAATGAAATGCAGAGATCCCGAAACCACAACTAGTCCCTGTCATTGTAACCAGCTTGGCCTCAGATGCACAACCCATGTGGACCCAGCCCCACTTGTGTTTAAATGACAAAGAAATCGAGGTGCACAGCCAGTTGTCTCCACCTGAGATGTGGATTTAAGACTTGACTTGTTCCTGCTCGGTCATTGTTCTGTGGATTCCAGCCTCACAGCCCCTGCCTACATCTCATGAAAGAGCCTGCCCACCGGGCATGAACCTGGCTTACCTGAGTCCTTCCAAATAACCTATGTATTTCTCCTCATTTAACTTTCCAGCTTTTTCATCACTGCACAATGCTGCCTTCAAGCTCCCATGTCTAGGAATGATGTGGACCCACCACCTGTAATGAGAGTGTGACAAGCACAGAGCCACACGCAAATTACCAGGTTCTTTAGTTATAATACAGTATCCTCGATGAAAATGTTAAGTTCACTGAAGAATTGCTTGACCACAACTTAAAGAATAGGTTTGGTTAAAAAGTGTAAGTGCACACTTGCTCCAGTGTGTCTCTCTAGTCCCCGTCCTGTAGACTTCACATTGCACAGTGTTGCTCGACGTCTAATACATACTGTGAGCTAGGTGTGAGCTAGATCATTACCGCCTTGCCTGGAACTATTAGTGGTGGTCTTACCTATTAGGCTTTCTGTGCATAAGTGTATGTACCTATGTGTGCATGTGCACATGTATTCCTGAGTGTATGTGCATGTGTGTATATGTGTATGTGCATATGGGTGCATGTGTACATGCGTGTGCATGTGTTCATGTGTGTATGTGCATATGGGTGCACGTGTGTGCATATGTGTGTGCTCGTGTGCATGTGCATGCATGCATGTGTGTGCATATTTGTTCATGTATGCATGTGCATGTATGCACATATGCATATGTATGCATCTGTGTATGTACATATGCATGCATCTGTGTATGTGCATATGTGTTCGTGTGTGCATGTGCATGTGTGTGTGTGTGCATTTGAATATGTGTGCATGCTCAGACTGTGATCATGGGAAATGATCTTTTCTGGAAATAGCATTTAATCTAAAGACAAAAAGAAGAAACATGGAGGAATCCCAGCACTTTGGGAGGCTGGTGGGGGTGGGGGGTGTGGATCATGAGGTCAGGAGTTCAAGACCAGCCTGGCCAACATGGTGAAAAATCTCTACTAAAAATACAAAAATTAGGCAGGCATGGTGGCACGTGCCTGTAGTCCCAGCTACTCAGGAGGCTGAGGCAGGAGAATCACTTGAACCCAGGAGGTAGAGGTTGCAGCAAGCCAAAATTGCGCCACTGCACTCCAGCCCGGGCGACAGTGAGAGACTCTGTCTCAAAAAAAAAAAAAAAAAAAAGAAGAAACATATAGGTATGGTGTGTTTTATTTTTCTCCAGAAACATTTTTAAATTTTTCTTTTAAAGAAAATGTATCATTTTCTTTACTTAACACAAACTACAATTGTGATAATTAATCTGAAACATGCCTTTATTAATGACAATTTAGAAAATATAGAAAGACACAAAGAAGAAAATGAAAATCATTCGTCCCAATGATTACAAATAAGTTTTATGGACACACTAGCATAGAGCTTTCAGCAATCTTCTAGCCATATGTATATTTAAACGACGCATGGATTAACAATATGTTGTGTATCATGACCCATTTTTATAATTTAAAATATTTGTTAAATAATTCATGTCATTAAACAGTGCTTTACAAATTTCAACATTAATAATGTTACTATTCAGTTGAGGAATTAGTGGCTTAACACCATGAAAGTTAAGTACAAGAATATCCGGGAAGAGTGTGGGGCAGGGCTCTGTTCCACACAGACACTCATGGATCTAGGTTGAGAGAGGCCCTGGGTTGACATTGTAACAGCAGAAGGCACGGTTAAAGCACACACACTCACACAGGAGGTTTTCATGACTCAGGTCTGGAAGGGTTGGCCTCCTTCTGAGTACCTTTTTTTTAACAAGAAGTGAATCACACCAGCACACCGAATTGACAGGCACCTGGGAAGTAAAGTCTTGTAGGTACAGGAGTCCCTATTTTCGTCTGATCTCGGGCACCTGGCTTCACCCACACCATTTGCTTAAAACCTTTCTTAATTTCATCTTTGGCTGCTTGGGGTCTCAAAGCAATCACCGTTTCTAACCCTGCAAACCCCCCAAAATTTAGTTTGCCTGTTTTCTTGATTCTGCTGGTCAGTTGCTGACTCACGTCTGTATGCATCTCTTTCTCCAACAGCATGCTAAATGCTGCTGGTGCCAACAGCACCCCTAATTGAGTGTGCTTTTCCACCCTCCTTCCTGGGAGTTTCACGTCTGGCTAGCCTCTAGGTTGCCTTCCACATTATCCCAGCTGTGCTGTTCCACTGAACGTGTTTGCCACCGCGTCAGACAGATCTTAATTTCTCAGCTTCTGAAAAGTGCAGGGCCCCAGGACTAACCAACATCACATATGTTAGGTTGTCTTACAGTAGCACCCTACTTCCAGGACCAGTTTCATATGAATTAATGTAATTGACCTGCTGTCATAAAGAAACCCTGAAATATAAAGTTGTTAATATCGGTTAGTAAAGTCCTACTGATGGCTTTGGGCAAGGGGTGTGTGCTCCATGGAGCCATCGGGAAGCCCCTGCTGAGGGCAGTTCTGTGATTTTACTGCAGGGTTGAGGCTCATCTGGTCAACCACATTCAGCCAGCAGAGGAGGAAAAGAGAGCACTGAGGAATCCAATAAGCCAGACCTAGAGAAGGTTCTCATCCCTTCGCTCCTCCAGGAGCACTGCGCAGGCTCCTAGCCAGGAGTGGCGGGAGCCATGCCACCCCCCAGGGGCAACCTCAGCTCAGCAAGAATTCTCTGGATGGAAAAGAATGATAGAATTCTGGTGGCCAGCCAGCCGTTTCTCCCACATAGGCATTGAAAAATAAAGAGGTAATTATTTGGAATGAAAATGGTATGGATTACGATTTTATGTTGGGTCAATTATTTCCTGGTGAATTATGCCGGCATCTCCCTCTCCTCACAGAACTCTCTCTATGTCGCTGTGTGAAATGGATCCCTGGGAGGTGTCCCGCAAGGCTCTTCCAGAGCAGCCCACACTGGTGTGGGGGATTTTCCGGCTTCACTCACAAAGCAGGCCTGCCCTGTGGCCTTCCTGACTTTTGGGTCTATTATTTTTTTATAAATCTTAAGTTCCAATGGTCATGTATTATTTGACCTAATATTCCTTTTTTTCTACTGAATACTACAGGTAGAATAAAGTCATTTTGATTTCATCCAATTATGACCTTTCCAGTAAATATCTCTAAGTTATAGGGGTTTATCTTGTAGTAATATAGAAGTCAGATTCCAATAATAAATGCGGGCATGTAATTAACATACCTAGGTTTATAATCCCAGTTTACCATTTTATAACCAGAGTCACAAAATTATAAAACATGTATGATGTCAGAAACGCTTTCAAAAGTATTCCCAGCAAAAAACTTAATGCAAAACCTAAAGAAACTCACACATACTGGATCCTTTAAAAAAGAATGTGCTGACTGTATTAATATAACATTAAAATTTAAATAATCTAAATTATCTTGGAATTCTGTACATCTTAGGAAGATTATATTCATTAAGAAATGATATGCTGTTGTAGCATTAGAGGCTTACTCTAAATCCACAGTTTCAATGTTTATATATAAATGTTTTTCCATTAACATAATTATTCCTATATGTCCATAACTATATGTTATTTATACAATGAATGTATATGCACATTTTATATCAATAAAAGAGCATTTTATCTTTAAAGATTTTATAAAAGAACATTATAGAATAACATTTTATATGTAAAAATGTGTGTGTATATATATGTATATAAAATTATTATTTTCCCTGATTATTAAAAGCATAGCTATTGTGGGAAGTACCCAAAATAATAAAATAAAATATATTAAATGTAAAAGAATGACAATAAATGCCTAAATCATCTATAATCTCTATCCATCTTTTAATCCTTTATTTTTCTTTTCAAATAGATTTACAAACTCTGACTTTCATCATAGTCACAATTTCTCAGGTTAAAAAAATTATTTTTATCCTCAATTGTGAGGAGTCTGCGCCCACACACCTAAGTCTTCACTCATCATTCTCCCCTCAAAGGCATCTAAAAAACAGTTATGAAGTTGGGAAAATTTATCCTCCTGCTGTTTGGGGAATATGCCAACACGTACTGTATCCTAGGTGGTCATTCCTGTAGCACGTCATGGTAGCGTTCTAGCTAATGGAAAGAGGATTCGCAAGTGCGATTCCCAACCACCTGCACCCACATGTAGCTTCTGTCTGCATCTCACCTCAGGCAAACATGCTTTGGAGAAATTGAGGAGAGGCCAGCGTTCCTGACAGTTTTTCCCAGGAGAGGCCTAAAGCAGTTCAGCCAGTGATTTACAGCCTGGAAGTCATGGTGCTTTAAGGGTACGATCTGGTAGCTCAAGGCATTTCTCCAGTTTTTGTTCCATTACTAATCAGGTGCCATGCAGTTCTAAAATCGGATTCACCCTCTAGGCAACCTCCCTGGGTAGTGAGAACACTGGTTCTCAGGGGCAGGTGTTGTTAGCGCCTGTTCCGGAGAAACTCTGCTCCAGCCTGCCTAGAGGTCTCCTGTCCAGTAAAGACTAGATGAAGAAAGTAAGAACTGAAAAGGGATAAAATAATGAACTTTATGTTTTCTACTTGTTTTTCTGTTTGTTTAGGTATGGTGTCTTGCTCTGCTGCCCAAGCTGGAGTTCAGTGGTGCAATCATAGCTATGTATATTACCTTTTCTTTAAAAAAGTTTAACTTTTAGAACAGTTTTCAATTCCCAGCAAAATTGAGAAAAAGGTACAGGAAGTTCTCATATATTCCCCAGCTCCCACACATGGACATGCTCCCGCCATCAGCACCTCCCCTGGAGGGTGCATTTGTTACAATGGATGAACCTACATGGACATATCACTGTTACATAGAGTCCACAGTGCAACTGAGGGCTCGCTCTGGGTATTGTACACTTTGTGGGTTTGAACAGATGTATAATGACATGGAGTCACCATTGCAGCATCATAGAGTAGTTTCACCAGCCCCCAGATCCCCCAAATCCGCTGTGCTCAGCTTGCTCATCCCTGGCTTCCCCTAACCCAGGGCGACCACTGGTCTTTTTACTACCTTTATAGTTTTGCCATTTCCAAAATGTTGCTGAGTTGAATGACACAGTATATAGCCTTTTCAGATTGGCTTCTTTAACCTGGCAATATGCATTGAATGTTACTCCATGTTTTTGCATGATGATAGTTCACTTCCTTTTTTCAGCAGTGTATAATATTCCATCATCTGGATGTACCGCCGTTTATTTATCCATGTCACTGAAGGACATCTTGGTTGCTCCCAAGTTTTGGAAGTTATGAGTAAGGCTGCTATAAACATCTGTGGATAGGTTTTTATCTGGACATATTTTAACGCTGATAAATACCAAGGAGTGTGATTACTGGATAGTATGGTAAGCATATGTTTAATTGGGTAGGAAATTGCAAGCTGTCTCCACAGTGGCTGTACCATTTTGCAATTCCACCAGTAAAAGATGAGAGTCCCTGTTGCTCCACATCCTCTCCAGCATGTTGGTGTTGTCAGTGGGTTTCGGCCATTCCACTGAGTGTGCAGTCGAGTCTTATTGTTTTAACTTCCATTTCCCTGAGGACCTATGACGTGGAGCATCTTCTCCTATGCGTGTTTGCCAGCTGTAGATGTTCTTTGATGAGGTGTCTGTTCAGGTCCTTGGCGCATTTTTTAATCCGGTTGTTTGTTTTCTTATTGTTGAGTTTTAGGACTTCTTTGTATATATTTTGGATAACAGTCCTTTATCAGATGTGTATTTTGCAAATATATCCTCCCAGTGAGTGGCTTGTCTTGGCAGTGTTTTTCACAGAGCAGAAGTTGTTAATTTGTTTGAAGTTCAGCTAATCAGTCCTTTCACGGACTGTGCCTTTGGTGTTTTATCTAAAACATCATGGTTGTGCCCAAGGTGGCCAAGATTTTCCCCTCTGATATCTTCCAGTTTAGAGTTTGCCTTTTGTGGTTATGTCTAGGATCCATTTTGAGTAAAGTTTTGTGATGGGTGTAAGGTCTGTGTCTAGATCCTGCCCCCCCCCACACACTTTCTTTGCCTGTGGATGTCTGGTTGTTCCAGCACCATTTGTTGAAAAATGATCTTTTCTCTACTGAGTTGCCTTTGCCCCTTTGTCAAAGATGGGTTGACTGCATCTGGGTGGGTCTGTTTCTGAGCTCTGTGTTCTGTTCCCTTGATCCATTTGTTCTTTCTTTCACTAATGTCACACTGTATTGATTACCATGGTTGGCAGTAACTCTTCAATGTTTACTACTTTTAATACACTAAATACAGTTCCAAGACTATGGGTTTTTAAAGCTCTAAAATATCTTTTATTCTAAATAGTTTAAACTGTATCCTTTTTGTTCCAGTTTTGGCATTTTTCTTCTTGAGAAAGCTAAAATATGATGGGTGTCTCCTCTATGGCACTGGTGCCAGGGACTGGACAAAGTACACATTATAGCCGAGACCCTGGGGGCCGGGGCACTGATCAGAGGGTGCAGAAAACAGGAAATGACCCAGCGTTCATAAATGTCTGTGCTTTAAGTTGTTACAAAGGCCGTGGTATTTGTTTTACTCGATGGATTGATGGATGCGGTAAACGTGGATTGGGATTTTATTTCTCAGCAATGCAAGCAGCTAGGAAAGGCAGAGACTTTGAATGCTGCTCAAATGAAATACAGGAGTGTGCCTTAAGCGCTACGCTCTGCACAATGCCAGGAATTTTGAGGAAATTCAAAGCCGATACTTCTCAAGCCCAGATATCCTCACATTATTCACATATGCACTACATTTTTCTAGACACTATGTAATCATGTAACTCTGGATGGTATTTCAGGTAATGGCATAAGAAAATGATTTTCAACTTCTTTTCTTTAAAAAAAAAAAAGCTTAGAAGTAGTTTCTCTTACCAGTAGGCGAGACAGAAAAAAATCTAATATTCCTTTCCTTTTAGAAAAGATTTATTGACCTGCTAACATTTCTGAACTTCTAAAACATAAAGTGACAAATATGAGACTCATAAAATATCCTGGTTCTGATGTGCGAGACAGCGGAACTCGATAACAAATACTGACTGGGAACCACAGTAGCAGAACCGCTCAGCCAGAAACTCAAACCTGCCAAGAAACTGTTTAAAGACGAAGGTGGAGAAACCTTCTCTAGCAAGGGTCTTTTAACACTGTCAGAGGCCGTTCTGTTGCTCTGCAGAAACACAAGAAAGACAGATTGTATTCTCATGCTTGGATGTGCCAACATTTCTGCCCAGAGCACTGCTAACTATGTATTATTTCCAGGATGACTTGTTTCTTTATTTTTAAAGGTAACCAACATTTTTAATGCAAATATAATTAGTGTGAAACAGTAATTGGTATGGGTACTTCTTACATATTCATTTGCATTGTCTCAAAACCTCAGAAAAAAGAGTCTATTTATTTTAAAGAAAGAGGAACATTCACTTCTCTTTAAATGCATTTTACCTGTTAAATTTTCTGTCAAAAATGCCTCCCTCTTTCTTTAGAAGAAAAATAAAATGCTAATTTCTATACCTACATATAACACTCAATCAACGATCTTTTCTCCTGAGCACATTCGCCAATTGCCCACCTACCCCCAAGTGACTTATGGTGACACATAATATAGAAATGACATTTCACACCATGACTTCCAGAGGCCTGTTTTATTAGGAATTTGTCCTGTGTGTAGATTTCTGGGCAGACAAAAACTTGCTCTTTCTATCACCAAGATCACCTTTTTTAAGGTTTCCTACTTATTTCCTAAAAGCAATTGTTTCTTCTTTCACCCTTACCAAGTCTTTCCTTTCCTAACACACTGTTTATTTACAACCTTTGTTCGAGAGGGTCCCAAACACTCACATGGCCTTGTGGATATTAAATAGTTACGGCTTGCTCTAGTTTCATAATTGACTTTTCTAACACTGCAGAAATTTCAGATAGAGGGATAACCTGACCAACATATCTTTTGTGTAGCATGCCCTTTTATTTGAATTTCTTGTAAAGAAGTAACGTTATAGAAATTGCGACATTTTAAAGCAGCATGTGACTTAAGTACCTATGGATAAAGATTCCACTGGTGCCCTTCAGGCCGCAGGTAAAGCGTCTCCCAGAACTCACAATGATAACCTGCCTGGCTTTACTAGGGTGTTCTGTTTATCCACCAAGTGCAGGACTGGGGCTTCCTGCGTTTTCATCTACTCCACCCATTAAAAGTAGTCCATCACACCACTTCAAGTGGCCTCTTAACTTTAACCTTTTGTCTCCAATGGCGAAACTGAAGTATTTGAGATAAATCTCAGTAACATGGATTTCAGGAAGTTGAAATCAGGATTCTTCTCATCTGCAGTCACAAACCGTGAATCCAGTAGCTTCCTTCTAGCTGGAAGGATAAACAGTTCCATGTCATTGCCTGAGATTGCCTCTGAACAGTTTATGGATCGTGGATGTGGATCTCCCAGGGACCTCACCTCCTCCTCTCTCTGTGCTTCCCACTTAGCACTGAGGGGCCAGCAGGTGCCTTCTCCAGGCCCTGCCCTACCATCCCAGAGGGCCCTTTTGTGTTCATTCCTAAGTGCATTCGCTGTCATCTAGTTACTAGTGATATTTCAAGGCATCTGCATTATCAGGCACTTCCAGAGGCCCCTGGACTTCCTCTCTCCAACGTTAATATATTCTTTCCACCTGTCCTCTATGGAAACAAATGTTGGTGGGACATTTGTACACCTGTTTTTCCAAATTTCTTTTTATGCCCCTTCGTATAATAGTAGAGCACAAATAACATCCACCCACAGGCCTCTTTGGGCTCATTATTGTCTAGTCCTTTTGATTTCAGACTATTCGCTTTTCAGGGGAAAGATGCTATTTCCTGGAGTTACTCCATACTGTCCATTGCCAAACGTTGTGCTATATATAAAAAAATTGCTGACAAATGGATCTAATTAAACTAAAGAGCTTCTGCACAGCAAAAGAAACTACCATCAGAGTGAACAGGCAACCTACAAAATGGGAGAAAATTTTCGCAACCTACTCATCTGACAAAGGGCTAATATCCAGAATCTACAATGAACTCAAACAAATTTACAAGAAAAAAACAAACAACTCCATCAAAAAGTGGGCAAAGGACATGAACAGACACTTCTCAAAAGAAGACATTTATGCAGCCAAAAAACACATGAAAAAATGCTCATCATCACTGGCCATCAGAGAAATGCAAATCAAAACCACAATGAGATACCATCTCACAGCAGTTAGAATGGCAATCATTAAAAAGTCAGGAAACAACAGGTGCTGGAGAGGATGTGGAGAAATAGGAACACTTTTACACTGTTGGTGGGACTGTAAACTAGTTCAATCATTGTGGAAGTCAGTGTGGCGATTCCTCAGGGATCTAGAACTAGAAATACCATTTGACCCAGCCATCCCATTACTGGGTATATACCCAAAGAACTCTAAATCATGCTGCTATAAAGACACATGCACACGTATGTTTATTGCGGCATTATTCACAATAGCAAAGACTTGGAACCAACCCAAATGTCCAACAATGATAGACTGGATTAAGAAAATGTGGCACATATACACCATGGAATACTATGCAGCCATAAAAAATGATGAGTTCATGTCCTTTGTAGGGACATGGATGAAATTGGAAAGCATCATTCTCAGTAAACTATCGCAAGAACAAAAAACCAAACACCGCATATTCTCACTCATAGGTGGGAATTGAACAATGAGATCACATGGACACAGGAAGGGGAATATCACACTCTGGGGACTGTTGTGGGGTGGGGGGAGGGGGGAGGGATAGCATTGGGAGATATACCTAATGCTAGATGACGAGTTAGTGGGTGCAGTGCACCAGCATGGCACATGTATACATATGTAACTAACCTGCACAATGTGCACATGTAGCCTAAAACTTAAAGTATAATAAAAAAAAAAAAAGCAAAAACTATGGTAAGAAGCAAAACACACACACACACACACAAAAATTGCAAGTACAATGATGGAAACAATGCAACCCGTGGTAATCACCCAAATCTACAACATTCAGCTTTCCTTAAATGATGAGCTACTAGTGGAAAATGGCAATGGATACGAGCTCAACCTCAACTGGTATATAGCTGTCTGCAAACAAAAGCCAAACTTGGAGAAGTGAGCTTTGTTTCCTGATAAGACAAGTTATTTAATGATTGCTAATCT
Source organism: Homo sapiens (assembly GCF_000001405.40). Taxonomy (NCBI): domain Eukaryota; kingdom Metazoa; phylum Chordata; class Mammalia; order Primates; family Hominidae; genus Homo; species Homo sapiens. Next base: position 2,255,353 of record NC_000010.11, read on the forward strand.
GAATATCTGGACCCGTTGTCGAACTGCGCCAAGGACAGCTTAATGGAAACAGCGACATATATTCCCAAATATATTGCAGTTACAAACCTGTGGCAGGTCTTTAGCAAAGTAGTGAAGCCAGTTCCATCCCAACCTTCCAACCCAAAGTTACTCTGCTTTGCTTTCTCTTCCTTTCTTTTATAAAGTCAGGGGGTTTTTGCTCCTTGAAGGTGCTATAGGCCCCTGGCGAGCCTTCCCTCCCCTGCCCTCTTTGCCTTCAGTTAAATCTTACGGCTTTTGAGAACAAGTTGCTGATGGTTCTCTTCTCAGCAAGGTACCAAGAAGTGGTCAACAAAATAATCAGAGAAGTCTGCCTCAGCTAATGTCTTCATTTACTATTTGCACTTTATTTACCTCAAACTTCTCATCCATTGATTAATTCAGATATCAAATGGATCCTCTGTACTTGAAAAGGACAAATAATAAAAAGGACAATAAAAAGGACAAATAATAAAGTCATCATGGCTAAGGAATTTACATCTTTCCTTGAAAAACAGCCTAATACAATGGAAATAATAGAAATGGAATTCTGTCATTTAGGTTTGCATTTTTCTAATTATGGTATTAAAGGTGAGAACAACTAAGTAAGAGTTGGAAGAAGGAAAACTAATAAGAGCTGGGAAAATTCACATGGAGAAGCAAACAGAGGATCCTGTTTAACTTCACACAATTTGGGGACAAAGATCCCAAACGCTGGTGAAACTGTCCCAAGGTAGAATGGAGAATTAGACTCCAACCCTGGCCCTGGAATCTTAATCAAGTTCTTTTTCTTTTAAATTACAAACGGGCAGAGAACTTTGCCTGGGAGCATGGGACTTGAGCTGAGGTTTGATCATGGGAAGGATTCAAAGTGGAGGATCTTCTAACATCATCAGAAAGCAAGCCCTCTGGAAGAAGTCATGATGGGCTCTGTACCTGCAGGTGGGACCACAGAAAAGAGAAGCAGGCATTTCTGAAGGCTTTTGGACAAGATCAGTCAGCTTCGCCAAGGTCAGAAACCATCCCCACATCTTCGTGGCTTACCACAGGTGATAGGCACGTCTGACTCACATCACCCATGGCTACAGGTCAGCGACCCTGCAGCTTTGCTCCAGGTGGCCATTCTGCCCTGAGGGCTGTCTCATCCTAGAGCACGTGCGGAGCACCCTTTTTTCAGAACACACTGTTCTCATGGCAAAGGGCAAAGGCAAAAGGTCAAGCCAAAGCAGACATCTCTACTTAGAGCTCCTGCTCCGATAAGAAGACTGTCACAATGACTCAAATCAGTCACTCACCAGGCTGACGATGGAAGAGGCAGACTCCCTCCACCTAGCAGGGGCAGCTGCACATCCAAGGATGGTGGTGGGTGCAGAATCTTGTCACAGGGATGGAGCAAACAGTCACATCAGCCAACGCCAGTTTAGCTTTGAATGTGAGAATGCATTATTTTTGCAGAAATATTTCCTAGTGACTTTGTTACATTATTGGAAATTTTGCAACATAATTCTCCAAAGATTGCTTATCTTTAATACTATCCACCTGATTTATTTTGCATCTCCCCCAAATAAAACACACATGTGATGTCCATCCTTTCTACTGCTGCCTGCTCATTGGAGGTCAGTGGGCGCTGACTTTGTCTTTCTGACAGTCAAATTTAAGAACTATCAGAGAAGAGTTTGAACAGGAATTGACTCAAGCATGACTGAATTTACAATGGCAGTGTGAAAATCTTTAGTCCAAGTTTACAAAAAATTTTTTGAGCCAATGAAACAAAAAAGAAAAAGAAAATTCTTTGACAAGTGCCTGACATTTTTCTTAAGAGTTTTGTTTTTACAGATGCTTTCCTATGTCAAGAGATGCAAAGGCCTGACAACCACCATGCTCATGGTAACCTAGGAAACATAACCAACGGTAGCCTGTTTGGCAATCATAAAAATGAATTTATATTAAAAATAAATACTTCTGATCCTCTTGTCTAGCCAATTATCCTAATTAGATTGAAAAATCCTGACATTTCCAATTAGCATTTATGACAAAATATATATCTGCAAATACAGCAGAAGATAAATACTGATTTGTGAAACTAGAATGAATTGCAGAGACAGTACAATGTGTTAACATTATTATCTAACTTCTACTACTTTTGAATGGAAACAATCATTTGTAAATTATAAGTGTCAGTAAAAACGTAAGTGAAACATTTGGAAATGAAATATGTCAAGTTGGTCTCAAAGCAAACAGAAAGCAAAAAAAAAATGGTTTTTTCACTGAAAAGTCTGCTGAAGCCTATAAAGCATTCTAACTATCTGTCAGTGGTTGCTCAGTGGAGACTAGAAAATAGGTCTCCATAGCTAGTCTACTGCAATGTATTGGGATAATCTGAAGAGCATAAAGTTCAATGGAATGTCTATTGACTTTATAAACTTCCTACAAAGATTGCAGCTCACAGTCACTTCAACAATGACAATCATCGCTAAGGGGTATTGAACTGTGGCCCCATCCTAGATTTAGGAGAAACCTAAATATGGATTTTAACTCTGTAGAGATCCATAGAGTCTACAGAAACACTCTGTTGAGTTTTCTTTTCACTTTTTGTGCTGAAACTCTGAGTTTTTTGTTTGTTTGTTTGTTTTGTTTTTTTTTTAACTAAGTTGGTCATTGAGAGACAAATCATATCACAGCCAGGTGGAGCTATAAGAAATTTTAACACCTACTTTTTCTGTGAACGCCTCCATGACATTGGCCTACAATGCTCCCCTGGTTCCTCTGACGCTGCCTGACCATGCGTGGTATTTGTACACCCTTCCTGGGACTGTGAACTATCAATATATGTGTATCCTGTAACTTGCAAAGTGTTGAAAAACTGGGACCTGAACCCTGGCTCACCTGCTCTCACCTACAACATTTTGCTAGTTATAGAGAAAGAGAATTAAATAAAATAAATTACATTTTAAAAACTCTGTTTATTTGGCTAAATAATCAGATATTTGCTGTAATAAAGACTATGTTTGTTCCAATAACTCTTTTTTTTTTTTTTTTTTTTTTTGAGACAGGGTCTTGCTCTGTCACCCAGGCTGGAGTCCAGTGGCACTATCTTGGTTCACTGTAACCTCTGCCTCCGGGTCTTAGGTCATCCTCCCACCTTAGCCTTCTGTGTAGCTGGTAGCACAGGCAAGAGCCACCACACCCGGCTAATTTATTTATTTATTTATATTTTTTGTAGAGACAGATGTCTTGCCATGTTGCCCAGACTGGTTTCCTACTCCTTAGCTCAAAACGATCTGCCCACCTCGGCCTCCCAAAGTTTTGGGATTACAGGCACGAGACACTGCACTCTGCCCTATAATTAACTATTATAAAGAGCTTTTAAACATATCTTTTATTAAAATTTTTTAACTTAAGAAACCATAGTAACAAGTGGCCAAAAAGCTGTGAAAACCATTCCAATGAACCATTCCAATGGATATAATCTCTATCTGTCGAGTGGGTTGCAGAGAGGTTGATTCTTGGTGTAACCCTTCAACTTTGAACCTTCAACCCTGCAACCTAGAGATGTTTGTCTGCACCCCCACCCCCAACACACACAGGCACACATGCACGGCCACACAGATACACACAGACTCACAGACACCTACCCGTACACAATGGATGTGTCAGGTAAGACTAGGTTAAGCTGCAGTGACAAATGAATGCCTGGCCATCATGGCTGCACACAGTGGAGGCGTGCACCTCACTCAGACACGGCTCATGTGTGTCCACCAGACAGGCTGCTCCACAAGTCTTTGAGGGACCCAGGCTAACAGACACTCCACTTTCTTTGGCTGCAAATTGGTCATCAAAACATGGAAAGATAGTTGGGAAGAACACGTAGTGCTATGTCTACCATCCACTGGATAAAACTAGTCAAATGGCCTCGTCTAATCCAGTAAAGCTGGGAAATATGCAGAAGGAGATGGGACATTAGAAGAACAGCCTGGCTGTGTCACTTGTTATAACTTCCTGCCAATATAAGAGTAGAAAAGGGAAGCATCACCAAGAAGTAAGCAAGCCAGGATGACAGTCAGAAGAGTAAAATTCCAATCCTAAGTGTCAAAAAAATTTCAAATTAGTGAAAATTACTTACATTTTTTGTGACTCAGTTTTTTTTTTCATTTGTAGAGTAATGGGGTAATACAAGATATTTACAAATATGTCATGCTTCTATGCAACCATAAGCCTAACGTAAACTCTGTATCCACCAGGATAACTTTGGATGGGTTGCAATAAGTACACTAAAGTCTCACTGCATGGAAGCCCAAAGGTTTATTTTCACTTACTCTACATGTCCCTCACAGGCACCTACTAGACACCCAACTGTACACTGCTCCTCAATTTTCCAACTCTTCCATATTTTCCCAGATGAGAAAAGTCATATGACTGCACATGTCTCTAACAGAGCAGACAAATCCCATCTTAACAAGCACTCAGAAGGAGAGCTGCCTGTATTTCGTGTTACCTTAAAAGACATAAAAAATATAATAAGCAATATAATTGGGATAACATAGTGGTTATATAAATGTATATACAACTATATACCCTGTGAGGGTGGGCTACATCTATTAGTCATCACTATTTCCAGTGCTTAATACCATGCTAGCACAGATAGTAATTGTACATTTTTGTGTGGAAAATAAAATGGAAGAAAAAATTAGACTGTATAAGTATGCTATATTAATATCTTCACAACGTTTGTTTAATATGCTCTTGAAACACAGAAAAATAAACAATAGCTTTGGCCATAGAAACCTTCTGGACTCCCTTGGGTCTGTCTTACTGCTTGTGCAAAATGTCATTTAAAATATTTGTTTTTTCTACAAAACTTTTTTAAACTACTTCTTCAAATCTTTTTTTTTCCATTTAACACATCCTCCTCTTCTATCTTTTGCTTTATTGTTTCTTTTTTCTTAAGTTTTGAGAAATGTTTCATAAATTGAGAAAATGTGACACATTCCTATCTCAGAAATAAAGAAGACTCAACCCTATGCTGACTACAAGAGACTCACTTCACCAGGAAGGATACAGGTAGAATGAAAGTGAAGGAAAGGAAGAAGATATTCCACAAAAATGGAAACCCACAGAGAGCAGGAGTAGCTATTCTTATCGCAGAAAAAGTAAACTTTAAATTAAAAGCTCTAAAAGGAGACAAAGAAAGTCATCACATAAGGATAAAGGTGTCAATGCAGCAACAGAATATAGTAATAAATATATTTGCAGCCAATAATAAAGCACCTAAATTCATAAAGCTAATATCAATAGATATTAATATTAATAAATATTAATAGATCTAAAAGGGAAGACTGCAATACAATCATAGTAAGGGGCTCAACACCTTACTCATAGCAATCAACAGATCATCTAAACAGAAAATGCACAAAGAAATACTGGATTCAAACTGCATTCTAGACCAAATTAATCTAACGGATATTTACAGAATATTCCATCCAATGGCTGCATAATACACATTCTTCTCAACTGCACATAGCATATTCTCCAGGATAGATCATATATTAGGCCATAAAATAAGTCTTAACAAATTTAAGAACATTGAAAGAATATTGAATATCTTTTCTGACCACAATAATATAAAGCTAGAAAACAATTAACAGGAGAAATTCCTAAAACTTTGTTTCTTATTTTGTTGCCGAATAATATTTAATTGCATGGATATACCATTGTTTGTTTATATATTCAACCATTCAATAACATTTGGTTTGGGGAGACCTTTATTAAAGCTGGTTTAGACCTTTAGATATTGGGTTTGTGTGGACCTACATTCTCAAATCAGTTGGATAAACACCTCCGTGGTACAATTGTCTTGGTTTGTAAGAAACTACCAGACTGCCTTCTATAATGGCTGTGACCATTTTAATTCCTGCCTGCAATTATTGGTCATTTCCTGTGGTTTGTCATCCTCACAAGCAATTGGCATTTTCCATCTTGAGATTTTAGCTGTCCAAATAGGTGTGTAGTAGTATCTTGTTTTGATTTGAAATTCCCTAATGAAAATGATGTGAAACACCTTTCCACATAGTTACTTCCCACTCTTATATTTTCTTTTCGTGAGCTTTGGGTCCAGACCGTTGGTCTACTGTTTAATTGTAATTCTGACTCTTATTCCTCTATGGATAAGTGGTTTTTGTCCTCTGTTTTTTTTTTTGAGACAGAGTCTTGCTCTGTCACCCAGGCTGGAGTGCAGTGGTTCACTGCAACCTCCGCCTCCCAGGTTCAAGTCATTGTCCTGCCTCAGCTTCCCAAGTAGCTGGGATTGTAGGCGCCTGTCACCATGCCCCGCTACTTTTTTTGTATTTTTAGTAGAGACGGGGTTTCGCCATGTTGGCCAGGCTGGTCTTAAATGCTTGACTTCCGGTGATCCATCCGCCTTGGCCTCCCAAAGTGCTGCGATTGCAGGCATGAAGCACCATGCCCTGCCTGTCCTCTGATATTTCTTAAAGATTTTCTCTTTTTTTTTTCAGTTCAAATATGATATGATTAGGTAAAATATTTTTCCTGCTTTTTTATTTATTTTTTGTTTTTTTTTGTCTTAGTTTTCTCTGAGCTTCTTGGATAAGTGGTTTGTGTCTGCCATTAATTTGAGAAGTTATCTGCCATCAGTATTCAAACATATGTCTTTTGCTGTCTTCTCTCTTTCTGATAAATCAATTATGTGTACATTAAGTATTTTGAAATTGTTTTACATTTTTGGGACATTTCCTTCTTTTTCTTTAGTTATTATTTTCCTTTTGCTTACTGCATTTCAGCTTGGGAAGTTTCATTTGACCTATAATCAACTTCGCTGATTCTTGCCTTCATTGTATTTAATCTACTAATGAATCAGTTTAAGGCATTTGTTGTTTCTGTTACAGAGTTTTCTATTTCTACAGTTCCTTGATTCTTTCTTTTTGTTTCCAGTTCTCTGTTTACATTAGCTTTTGGTCCTTGCATGTCGTCTACTTTTTTCATTTCACTCTTTAGAACATTAATCATATTTATTTTAAATTCATTTATAGTTCAAAAAACTGTGTCATACCTGAGTCTGGTTCTGATCATTGTTTTGTCTCTTTGGAACATGTTTTTTCTTGCTTTGTGGCATGCCTGACTTTTTTTTTTTAATTTTTGGTTGTGCAAAGGCAAACATGTTGTATCATGAAACAGGAATTGGCAGTTAGTGTGAAAATGCCTGTTAAGAGTTAAGCTGCATTTATTGTTGGCTGCAGGTGGCAGAGGCTTGGAATTCTCCCTGTGCCCTTGACTTTGTCTCTCTTCTTTGCCTTGGGCTTCCCTACTTGCTTCTCCACAGAGACGTCTGTTTTTCTTAGATCTTTCAGCTGTAAGTCACATTATTACATTGAAATCCTGTTAGTGTGATGTTAAGGTGTGACTTGGTGTAGAGGATTTTATATTCCTTTTATTAAATCTTGGTGTTTTGTTGCGGCTATGTCTCTGAGATGTGGCCTTCATAAATGCGTCTCTGGTGGTGTGGCTCACCTCCTGGGTGATAAGATGGCCAGAGGGGGCTGGGTGGGAAGAATGACCTTCTTCTGCAGCTCTGGGAAAAGGGTCTGGTAAGTAGAACCTTTGGAAAGTAGAACTTTCTTCTGAAGATTTCTCTCTCTATCATCACTGTATTTCTTCCACCATCAAGGTGTTCTAGCACGTCATCAACGCCCAGGTGTTGACGTCATTATTCACGACTATTGTGATTTATAATGATGATGAAGATGATGATGATGATGATGGCATTCCTGCCACTTATTATCATTATTTTCACTTTAGCTTCCATTTACCTATGTGACATTTAGTACTAATTGCTGTATGACAGTATTTCACTTTATAAGCCTCAGCTTTAGCATAGGATGCTATTTTTGGTTTTAAAAGTCATGAGTTTGAAAAGCCTGTGAAACAGTTGCTACACTTGTCTGAATTCAGGAAAGACTTCTGGCCTAGAGCTGTGGGAATTAAAGGATGAAGATTATCATCCATAGGGCAGGTGTCTCCCTGCCCTTTGAGGTCTGGGCATACCCTTTGGAAACATCCTTCATTGCCTTGGCCTCTGAGGAAGTAAAAATCAATCTCAGAGTCCATGATCCTTTTCCCCACACTAAACTGAGAGTATGTGGATGTTGTTTTATCATAGACCTTGACTTTAGCAGACACTTGAAAAAGAGTTTGGCAAAAGGGGAACATGGAAAGTTGACTTATAAAAAAAATGCCCTTGTATGATACAGATTCATAACTGTACAGATAGAACAGAGGAACCAGTGTATAAAAATAGTTCATTTACTACTTACAAAGATCATCATTTTATTTTCCTAAGTGTTAATGAGCTTCCTTTAAGCCTTACCAAAAGAGGAAGTAATGTGGGGCTCTGTTGTCATTACTGTGGAGACAGAGGCAAACCAGCAACTCAACTGAAACAAGACTGTTGCAATTAAATAGTAAGGAAATAATTAACAGAGAGTAAGAGGGAACACTTTGTGAACAAAATAATATCAAATACATTTTTAAAAGGATAAAATGAAATATGTTCTCCTGAAGGCAGCCCTTGGTACTTCACTTTTTCATGAACCTGACTAATATGTCACAAAAGTCAAAAATCAATATTTTCACAGGAGATCACTGTATTTTCAAGCACAATGAGATTGTTTAGTAATTATGTAGAATTTCAGAAGTTTAAAATGATCAGGGAATTGTATTCTCCCAAACTACTGTTTAGATTGCTTTCTAAAGCATCTGGAGAGATTTTCAGAAGAACGCAAGATGTTTCACTCTACAAAGGCACGGGGGTCAGGACTCATTGGCTGCTGTGTGTGCCTATGTGTTGGGCAACAATGATATTTTTTGAGATTCTGAGTATTCAGTTTAGTTTCCACATGGGTGAAGATGATGAAACATTTCTTCTAATTTCAAAAAGTTTTAAATTAATTAATAATCTGTGAGATGTCATCCCCAGGATCATGTAAACCAGGCATCTTGTAGATAGTAAGTGAGTGAGTGGTTGAACCTCTGCAAGTCTCTCTCAATAATTAATTGAAGATTAAACAGATTTAGGGAAATATTGCTTTTTAAATGAAAATGTGGCATGAGATTGACTTGGCATGCAGTTTCATTACAGAAGAGAATCTGTGTCTGCTTAATTTTATTTACAAGAGAACAGTTCTCTTCCTTTCTCCTTTGAATTCTTCAAATCTTACAAAAACGTGGCAATGGATCGAGGTTGTGTTTATAGAGCAAATCACTAGACCAGACTAAAAGTAAATAAATACTTAACAGTCCTGTCACTGATAGTGAAAACAGAGTGTAAGGTAAAGCATCGAAAGAGGACCAACCGTGGCTAAGACCTTATTCTAATTCTTTCTGCACTGCAAAGAACGCTTTTACTCAGAAGGTGGTTTCAACTAGTTGTAGTCCAACAAATGTTGTCTCCTACTAATATATTGAGAAACTGTTAAAAAAGGATGTTTTTGGTTGCATACATAAAAGTATTTTAATTAAAAAATGATTAAATTTTATTCCGTGAGATCTAACAGCTTAAAAAGACAGTTCTGGTTATTTAATTATTCAGAAGAATCTAATATTAACCAGATTCAATGACCTTATTATTGGATACTCAGTTTTAAATAAGAGAAATAGCACATAATATATATTATATATGTAATATATACATATTCTATATTGTATACATAGAATATGTATAGAATTCTATATTCTATACATATTCTATACATAGAATGCATATATGCAATATACATATTCTATATTCACATATTCTATATTCTATATTCGTATATTCTATATAACATATGGATATATTAGATAATATATGCAATATGTCCATATATTATATATATTTGGAAAAATAAGTATATATTATGTATACATATACAATATATTCATATATTATATGTATTATTTATTACACCTTATACATATATAAATATATATATACATATAGCATATATCTGCATATCATATACATATAATATATGTGTATGATATGATATCTGTATATACAATATATAATACAAGTATAGACTATATGCATAGGAAATATATTTTATTATATACATATCTAATATATGCATAAGATATAACACATGATATATGTATATATCATATATGCAATATTTACATATAATCTATATATGTATTATACATATATATTATATACATGTATTATATATATTATTGTATATTGTAATATATAATATGTAAAATAATATAGTTTATAATATAGTATATATTTTGGACACCTATTGTGTATGCATAGGATAAAATAAATTATATGTATATATCATATATAAACACACAATATATAATATAAATTTAGTATATATACTATACACATATAAGTGTATATTCATATTTATTTAATCTTTTAAATGATTGTAAGCACCTAGTGCATGGGTGTGATAGGTTCATGAGTATTTCTCATTAGCTACTTTGAAGTAATCATTTAATTATGAATTTTTGTGTGTGTTTTGTGCTCTTAGGTAAATTTAGATGCCAATCGAATAGTAATTCATTGTATTAGCATCTATATCTGTAAATGTGAGCTGCTATGGGACCACGATTCCATGTCTTTAATGCCCAACTCTAACCGTCCTTGATAACGGAAATATTTATCATAATTTGAGAGCAGCAAGGTGCTGGACTAACATGAAGCTATTTATGAAAGCCTTTTCCCACTGAGCACACATACCTGCATATTTCCTGGCAGAAATGTTACTGTGTTTGATTCCGTGCCTTTTTTCCAGACCTTTTGGAGGCATCTTATATCACCTGTTTTGGTCACTGTGTCATTGCTCTAAAATCCAAACATTCGGAGCTTTGCAGGGGTCCGTAGAAAATATTGTGGACATGCATCAGGTTCTTCACCAACACCTATGTTCTCTCTTTAATATTTGAAGAAACAGAATATGTAATTATTTCCAATTTATTTATTATAAAGGAAGAAAAATAATTGCCACAAGGGTGTGAAGAGGCTGTAGGGCAGTGACGGAGGGAGTGAGGCCAGGATCGTTCACGGCTTCACTGGAGCCCACCTGGTTCTCAGCAGTGGCTGACACCACAGAAAGGACAGGGCTGTGCTCTGAGGCCAGCATCGAGGGCACCTAGAGGAGCAGAGCCCCAGAGCCTCTGATCACCAGGGAAAGGTGGCCACAGGGAGGGCTGACCGGAGCGGGCAGCACACTTGGCCACTCGGAATAAGATCAAGTATGAGGAACACCCAGTGGGGAAGGAGCTCGGGGGATCCCAGCAGAGAAAGGTTTTCCGTGGGAGAGCCCCGAGGAGGAGTGACTAAATCGACGCATCAATTCTGTACGTCGTGGGCACTCACCCCGCGCCACGTGCAAGCCACCCATATGATCGGCTGTTTCCCTTAACAATCCCCAGATATGCAAGAATTCCGTAGTGTTCACTTCACATTCGAGATGAGAAGGTTGAAGTCCCAGGTTAACTTGCTTGTACAACATCACGAGCCAGCAGGTGCCAGAATCAACCTCCAAGTTCCAGCCTGACGGAGCAAGAACTTTTGCTCCCTCCACAATGTTTGTGGGTTTAAGAGATTTATGAATTGTAAAAAGAGGAACACATTTTCCTGATAAGTCAGAAAGAAAATATCCTACTGAATTTATAAAAATAAATGAAAGATAAGTAAAAAGCAACGATGCAATGGCAGTGATTCAACAAAATACTTGAGAAATGCCTGGAAATACCGACCTTCCAGAGTGTTCTATGTGAGAAAATGATTTGTCTTCGACAGAGCTGAGCTTAACTACCACTTCTGTTTCTTACTATCCTACTTCATCTCTCTGACTTCTCTTTCTGGAAATGACGTATTGTTTGTAAGCTTTATTGCCTTAAGAAAAAGTAAGATGAGATTTGTAGAGTACCTGGCATAGTACATAGCACCTAAAACAAAGCTATTATCGGTTTTCTTCATATTTTTATTAATATCATTATAAAGAGGAGAAGGAGGAAGGTGACTGAATAGTAAGAGAGTAAATCTTTTAAGCTAAGGAGGAGACACAGGTCAGGAACTGAAAGGATGCTTTAAGGAACAGGGGGTGCTATGATCGGAACATTTGTGCTCCCCAGATTCCTATGCTGAATGCTAACTCTCGATGGTATTGGGAGTGGGGGCTTTGGGGGGTGATTAGATCAATGAAATTAGTGCTCTTATAAAAGAAACCCAAGGGGAGCTCCTCGGCACCTTCCAGCTTGTGGGGACCCAGTGAGAAGACATCGTCTGCAACGAGGAGGAGGCCCCACCGGACACTGAAGCTGCCAGTGCCTTGGTCTCGGACCTCTGAGCGTCCAGAACTGTAAGAAGTAAAATTCTGTTGTTTCTAAGCCACCCAGTTTAGAATCTTATCACAGGAGCCTGAACAAGCTGAGATAACCAGGTTTAGAAGAAAACTAAAATGTGGAAGTTTAATAAGGAAGAATGAATGATCACAGATTCTTATGAGTGATATTATTAGAATAGTTTGCTTCATATTTTATTAATATTTAGGAAATCTGCATATCCAATGTAATTTTGGCTTATTTAAATTAACTCCTGTTCCCTAAGCTCACAGGTAAGGATTCTGTTCCAGGGCCAGTAAAGGCTCTGGGAAAAGCTTAAGCCCTCGACTTTTTGCCTTAGTTTGTAGCATTCAACTGAAGCAAGGAAGGAAATAGAATTAAAGACACTCACAGCCCATCAAACCCTCCATGCCGTCTTTCAGGCTCCTTCAGAGCAACACTTCTGGAAAGAGTTTCCTGTGGTTATTGGAGCCCCTTCCTAATACCTTGTCTCTCAGTCCACTCCAGAAAGGCCTCTGCATGGACCTGACATAGAGTCTGCATGAGACTGCAGCCACTGTTGACAAATGAAGCCCTTGGTTTTTGTTCTCATCTGTGCCACCTCTCAAAATTCCTCGCAGACGCAGCTCCGCCCTTTCCATCGCTTTGTCAACACTCTTCATCTCCTGCACCCTCTTCCTCGCTGGCCCCTTCTTTTCTACTCTATTTATCTTCTCATCTCTTTTCTTCTCTCCTCTTCTTTTTTCCCTTCTCCTCTGCTGCAATAGCATAATGCCTCAAGATTCTGCCCTGGCCCTTCACTCTGTGCACCCTAACAAAGCCTTAGGATGCATTCTATTCTAAGACTTTAAATATCATTGATGGGCTGATGACAACAAATGCATCAATCTGTCCTTGTTTGGTAAGTTTTGGGTTAACATATCCACTGCCTGCTTCGTATTTCTGAGTAGTAGAGACAGAGCTCTGATTCCCTTGTATTCACTACCACCAGCTATTTGCTTCACATTCCTAGTCTCAGAAAAATGAGCCACAGAGAACCCATGACTCAAGCAAGTAGGATCTAGGAGGCATCTCTCCCCCAAGCATTCATTTCATCAACATGTCTTATCACATTTAAATTCCAGCCTTTCCCTCTCTCTTGCTATCCCCTGCTGCCACACCAGTACAAAGGTCTCTTTCTACCCTAGTGCAATAGTCTCCTAGTTGGTCTTCCTCTTTCTATTCCGAACTATCTACAGTTCCTTTTTCATACCACAGCCAGTCATTTTTTAATAATGTAAACCCTAGCACACTTTCCAGCAATGATGGGATAACTGGTACTAGACTTACTTGTCCTCCATAAACTGCTCTACAATTAGACACATTCTATGAGACCATGACTGTCATGTATTGGATAACATGCAATGCAGGATTTTGATATTCAAGAAAAGGGATGTGCCCAACATGAGCATCATTTTTGCCCTGAATTTCTGACTAGTGGCATTTTTTAAACCACTGAACAGGGAGATGAGCCCCATGCAGATCTAAGAGTTTTCCTGAGCTGCGGAGGCAGAGATCATGCCCAGGGATGCTGAGGCAGCTGAAATGTGCAGGGCAGGGGCTGAAGAGGAAGAAGCCATGTGGTAGGTGTGAGTGGACCAGAGGTGGGTGTCTCCCATTGGCCCTTCACTAAGAGGGAGCTCAGAAACATGCAGAAGGAACTGGAGGCATGAGGGGAGCAGCCTCATGGAACTGAATCAACTGGAGTTGGAAAACCTTGTTCATTTGGGACACAGTCTAACAAGGCTGCTCTTTAACAGTGGTACCCATGCCCTGGGTTAGCAGCGGTGTCTGAGGCTAAAGGCCAAGAGATACATTGAACAGCTGTAACAGATTCAACTGAGCTGGACTAGATCAGTGTAATCCTCTAGTAATTTAAAGGCATGCCACAGCAAACCTTGACATCATAGCTAAAACTTATTATTCACGATCTCTACCATATGATAATAAAATATGTATTCAAAGAAACAAAAATATGTAACTCATAAGCCAAAATTTTTAAAAAAATATTAATAGAAGCAAACTCTTAAAAGATCAGGTACTGAATGGAGAGAAGAACTTTATTATAAATATATTCAAAGACTTAAAAAAAAGATGGACATAATAAGTGAACAGATACAGAATATAAGCAGAAAAAATGTTTACAAAAGGAAATTGAGAGTTGTGCTTTCACCTAGGTCTACAATTCCAGTAAGAATATTACTTTCACCATAACAGCAAGAAAAAGACACATAAACCACAAAATCATAACTTTTTGGAACATATCAGAAAAGCTGAGTGCACAGAGCAATCAAGTATCATGCAGTACAAGGAATGGCATTCCTCATACTATGGAGAAATGATACCTGACCAGCAGCTCACTTCTCTCTGATGGGAGAAAGAGACTTCAGGTGCCTTACAAGTCAGGGAGAAGAATTCAGATGAGCATGATGATGGATTGCTGATGACAGGTGTGGGCAAGCTGAATTCACACCTACTCAAAACTCTCCTCCATGAACCTCCACCAAGTACTCACAGGAAGGATCAGAGACAGGGTGGGAGACTGGAGAGAGTCTAATGATGGTGCAGGCCTGGAAGCCTGGTGCAGTTGCTGATGAAAAGTAGGCACAAATCTCCACTCAGATTCTTCTTGACTGCAGAGCAAAAGCTGTGAGCCATTGGGAGAAGATGGTGAACTCTGCTGCCTGAGAACATAGAGGAAGGCACACTGTGGCTGGAAGTAGCATGAGAATAAAGAATACTGTATCCCCGAAGGATGGAGAGAAAACAGCTTAGGCTCCAGCATCAAATACTAAGACCATCAGAGGTCTCCTGTCTCTGGGGGAGGCCAGGAACTTCCTTACACAAGACACAACAATAGAAGCAAGCTTAGGCTCTTCAGAGAGGAGGGGCAGAATTAATGAGTCCCACACTTGCAATACTAGAGACGGAGGGCCTGATTACAGTGGAGGCAAAACCAGAGCAAGAGAAAATCCTGTGACCTCCATCACCATGCCAGGAAACACAAAATAACAAGCAACAGCAAAACCGTCCACTGCTGGGGAAGGGACAAGACGGAAAAGTTTCCCTTTATTGCACCAATGCATAGGGATGGCCCCACGTTGCAGGCAGAGCAGGAATATTCAGAGAAACACTCCAGAACCCCTGACCCTACCTACTTCATGCACAAGGTAACCCTACACACTTGAGTAGCTGGAACACTGAAGATAACCATAGTAACAAAATCTAAATCAGCTCAGTTTCTGATTAGATTGACTCAAATCCTACACTAAGAATATAGCAGTAAAAGCATACCGTTTTCTGGCATACATACTTCTTTTTTTAAAAAAAATTATTATTTTTATTTTTTTGAGACAGAGTTTTGCTTTGTCACCCAGGCTGGAGTGAAGTCACACAATTTGGGCTCACTGCAGCCTCCACTTCCCAGGTTCAAGTGATTCTCCTGCCTCAGTCTCCCAGGTAGTGGGGATTATAGGTAGGTGCCACCACACCCAGCTAATTTTTGTATTTTTAGTAGAGACAGGGTTTCAGCATGTTGGCCAGGCTGCTCTTGAACTCCTGACCACAGGTGATCTGCCTCAGCCTCTCAAAGTGTTAGGATTATAGGCGTGAGCCACTACGCCCAGCCCCTGCATACATACTTCTTAGCTCCATTTCTACTGTTCTACCAATGATGTCTGGCCTTAAATTAGAAAATGTTAGGAGATAAATAAGAAAACAAGGAAGAAAACCTGACAAGAGACAAAGCAGTCAAAAGGATCAGACTTAAGAAGAAACAAATGTTGGAATTATCAAGGAAAGAATGTTTAAGCTTTAGAAAAAACACTGGCAACATGCACTCAGATTAAAAATTTCAGAGGAGAGATTAAAATTAAAAGAAAAAGTCAAATGAGATTATTAGAAATACACAGAGAGACACACAGAGTAATAGAGATGAAGAATGCCTCTCATCACCTCATGAGTAGACACAGCTTGGCCAAGGAAAGAAACAGCAAACATAAAATTCAGTTAATAAAAATTATCCAATTTGAAGAAGAAAAGGGGAACTCTTCAGAATAAAGCACTCTACGGAATGAATTACCGTGGGACAAGCAAACACTCAAGTAACTGAAATCCAAAATAAAAAAAAAAGAGTCATAAGAATGGGTCTGAAAGAATAAGGGAAGATTTTCCACAAATGATAAAAGACACCAAAACACAGAGTCAAGAATCCCCAAGATAACAAAGCCCACACATGTTCTAGCCACACTATAAAAACCAGATATGGCTGGATGTGGTAGCTCATGTCTGGAATCCCAGCACTTTGGGAGGCCAAGGCTGGCAGATCATCTGAGGTCAGGAGTTTCAGACCAGCCTGGCCAACATGGTGAAACCCCATCTCTAGTAAAAGTACAAAAATTAGACAGGCGTGGTGGCACACACCTGTACTCCCAGTTACTCAGGAGACTGAGGCAGGAGAATTGCTTCATCCTGGGAGGTGGAGGTCGCAGTGAGCCAAGATCGCACCACTGCACTCCAGCCTGGGCAACAGAATGAGACACTGTCTCAAAAATAAATAAATAAATAATAAATAAATAAATATGAAAACCAAAGATAATGAAAAAATCTGGAGGACATCCAGAGGGGGCAAAATATGCATTACATATAGAGGAAGAAATACTAAATACTACAGAAAATATCTTCAGAAGCCACCCAAGCCAGAAGAAAACGGTGTGAGGTCTCTATAAAGTTAGGGGGCAGGGAAAGCTAGAATACTCAGTACTCAGAAAAATTCCATTTGAAAGTGATGACGAAAAATATTTCTAAAAAAACACAAAATCTAAATAAATAATATTAGAAGCAGACATATGATACAAGAAATACCAAAATAAGTTTTTCAAACAGGAAGCTTTTTGCAGCAGGAAAATTGGATCTATGAAAATAAATAAATTGCTCTCAAAATAGTTAAAGGAAAGATAAATAGAAAAAAATTTCTTATTTGAATCATTCTGCAAGTTTATTGGCTGCAAAAGCAAAATAGAAATATTCTGAAGATTTATAGCAGATGTAAATTAAAATATATAACACTAGCACAAAAGAAGAAATTAGCAGAATACTGTTTTGGGGTCCTTGTATATCAAGCTGTAAAATACTCTTTGAAGGAACACTGTGATAAATTAAACATGTATACTGTAACCATGGGGAACCTATTATATGAAAAAATATGAAAACTAAGCCAGTAACCAATGGTAAATGGATGCATTAAAAATACTAATCAAAAGGCATACAGAATTCTTTTTTAGAATTTTAGAGTTGATATAAAAGAAAGAATTATACACTACCTATAAGGAACTCATTTTAAATACACAGGTAGCATGGCAATGTATCTTTATGTAAGCATGAAGATATAGGATGAAAACAAAATTCCATGTGAACATTGGCAAAGAGAAATTATTAGGAGCTGTATGAATGTCAGACGATCTAGGCTTCAAAACAATACATATTATCAGAGATAAGGAGAGCCACTACATTATGAAAAAGGGGATTAATTCTCCAAAATTTAGTAAAAATCCTAAAGGTGTATGTGTGTATAGATAACAACAGGGCTTTAAGATACATCAAACAAAAGTTAATAAAACTGAAAGGGGAATAGACAAAACTATAATTTTATTAATGTCCTCAACACTCCTGTCGCAGGAATTAAAGTAATAGAGATCAAAAACTAGCAAGGATTTTTAGACCTGAACAACAATATCTACCAACTTGACCTAATTGTCTCTTATAAAAAGCTTAACCCTCAACAGCAAATGCAAATTATTGTCAAGGACACATAGAACGTTTACCTTGTTAAGCCATAACAAGCTATAATATATTTAAAGTGATTGTAACTATACAAAGTATTTTCTCGACAAAAATACATTGAAAAGAAAAGTAACTGAAAATTCCACAAATATTTAGAAATTTAGGTTTACAATTATAAAAACCCATGGGCAAAAGAGGAATGCACAAGGAAATTAAAAAATATTTTGAGTTGAATAAAACTGAAAACACATACACACATCACAAATAAGCATTGGGTCTCTCTTCCTATCACTCCTATTCGACATCATGCTTGAGGGCCTAGCTAGTGCAATAAGGCAAGAAAAGATATTAAAGCCAAATAGATTAGAGAGGAAGTAACAAAAGAGTTTTTTATTTTCAAAGAACATAATGGACTACTCAGAACTTACCAAGGAATCTACAAACAAACTTGTAGAATTAGTAAACAAATTTATCGAGTTCTAGGATACAAATCTAATATTCAAAAAACGTCTTTTCTATGTACAATCAATTAACAATTGAAATTAAAAATTAAAATTAAAACACAGTGCCATTTATAATTGTACCAAAAACACTGAACAGTAGGTAATAATTTCATAAAGCCTGTTCATCATCTCTATGTTGACAATCAACTGAATACATGGAAATATGCTGTGTTTATGAATTGGAAGGTTCTATATTGTTAAGATGTGGAATCTTCCCAGATTGATTTATTGATTTAAAGCAATAGTGATCGAAATCTCAGCAGGACTTTTTGGTAGTTATTGAGAAGCTGATTTAAAAGGTATATGGAAAAAAATAAAAGAAATTGGAATAGTAATAAGAATTTTGAAAACAAGAATAGACTTGCAAGATGTTACCGTATTTCAAGATCCACTGTTCAAGCTACAGGAGTAAAGAAAGTGTTGTGACATTGGCAAAAGCAGAGATACAAAGAATAATTGCAAGAAAATTGTCTAGATATTCATGTGTTTACTTATATAGTCAACTGAAAACAAAGATGCAAAGGTAATTTAATTAAGAAAGAATATTCTTTTCAACAAATTGTGTGGGAAAATTATACATCCATGTGCAAAAATTAAGCTTTAATACATACTTTTCATGATATTAAAAAAAATCACAAAATGTTTCAGACCTAAATGCTAACAGAGCTTTAAAACTTTGAAAATAAGGCTGGGCGCGGTGGCTCACGCCTGTAATCCCAGCACTTTGGGAGGCCGAGGTGGGCGGATCACGAGGTCAGGAGATCGAGACCATCCTGGCTAACACGGTGAAACCCCGTCTCTACTAAAAAAAATACAAAAAATTAGCCGGGCTTGGTAGCGGGCGCCTGTAGTCCCAGCTACTCAGGAGGCTGAGGCAGGAGAATGGCGTGAGCCCGGGAGGCGGAGCTTGCAGTGAGCCGAGATCGCGCCACTGCACTCCAGCCTGGGCGACAGAGCAAGACTCCGTCTCAAAAAAAAAAAAAAAAAAAAAAAAAAAAAAAAACTTTGAAAATAAAACATAAGAGAAAATGTTTGTGACCTTGGGTTTGGCAAAGATTTCTACGATGCAACACAAAATCATGCCCTAAATTGGTAAAATGTTAATAAGTTAATGGAGGAAATCAATGTTAGGAGTTGATTTGAAATAGCAGCTTATTCACTCATGTAATAAATATTTATTTTCTATTTGCTAGGCAGAGCTCTAGGCAGAAAACAAGATTTCATAGAAATAAAAAGTCTTTGCTCTTTGAAATACACAGTTAATAATATGAACAGATAAGCTACAAACTGGGTGGGAAGGTTTGAAAAATGCAAATCTGATTTATTATCATCTTAAAAATATAGTTATAGCGTGATATAGTTTGGATCTGTGTCCCCACCCAAATCTCATGTTGAAATGCAATTCCCAATGTTGGAGGTTGGACCTGGTATGAGGTGGTTGGCTCATGGTTGTGGATTCTCATGAGTGGTTCAGCACCATCCCCTTGGTACTCTTCTCTCAATAGTGAGCAAGTTCTCCCTAGATCTAGCTGTTTAAAAGTGTGGCACTTCACTCCCTCTGTCTCACTCCTGCTCTGCCATATCACCTGCCTACTCCAGCTTCATCTTCTGCCATGACTGTAAGTTTCCTGAGGCCTCCCCAGAAGCTGAGCAGATGCCAGTATCATGTATCCTGTGCAGACTGCAGAAGCCTGAGCCAATGAAACTGTTTTTCTTTATAAATTACCCAGTCTCAGGCTTGGTGCAGTGGCTCATGCCTGTAATCCCAGCACTTTGGGAGGCCGAGGTGGGCAAATCACTTGAAGTCGGGAGTTCAAGACCAGCCTGACCAACATGGAGAAACCCCGTCTCTACTAAATATAAAAAATTAGCCGGGCATGGTGGTGCATGCCTATAATCCCAGATACTCGGGAGGCTGAGGCAGGAGAATCACTTGTACCCGGGAGATGGAGGTTGCGGTGAGCTGAGATTGCACCATTGCATTCCAGCCTAGGCAACAAGAGTGAAACTCCATCTCCAAAAAATAAAAATAAATAAATAAATAAATAAATAAATAAATAACCCAGTCTCAAGTATTTCTTCATAGCAATGCAAGGACAGGCTAAAACATAGGGTTCAACCATCCCATTCCTCAGGACCTTTACTGTGAATCAGTTTTGACTACTGTAAATGACCTCTTATTCACCATACCCTGTTCATTCTCCATGGCATTGCCCTGTATACCAGGTTTGTCTCTTTGTTGGGGAGAGGGGAGGGTCTGCTTATGTATTGATTTAGGCTTGTTTGTGTTCATAACATCTCTCACTCTGATTTTTGCCCAGTTCATTTAACTATTTGCTTGCTACTCCCCACTACCTCAACCACTGCACCCTTATCGGAGAACGATGTCTAGGATACTGCCAGGCACACAGAAAACATTCAACCAATATTTATTACATGAATAAATAGGCCACTCTTTCAAATCAGCTCCTAGCGTCGATTTCCTCCATGCAGAACTGAACAGGCTTCGTAAGCCTCTAGGGTCCGCAGGCTGTGCTTAGAGGAGGCCCAGCAGGATGGTGCCTTCACCCCTCTGGGCTCTTCCCAGGAAGCCCTGACCACCCTGCACCAGCCACCATACTCCTGCTTCTCCAGATGGAAGGCGGACTCTGCACTCACTCCTGTCAAATGAGCAGATAGGACGTGATAAAGGGGAGATACGATACAGTCAAAATGCATGCAACACAAATGATCCTTTTGAGTGCGTTTCAAAAATATGTGCCAAATAAGTTGATGGAATGGAGCAGCATTGCGTGACGCCAATCACTGATTCACTTATGCTTTCTATGTGGTTTTTCCCAAAGTTGACTGTGGTAGCATCCTGCCTGTTCTTGCCTCCTAATTCATTTTCTGCAGAAGTACAAGCAACTATTCCTAGGTGAAGCCCATTGTGTGCAGACGGTGTTGTGCCTCGGAAGGAGTGACCTGAGTGAAGGCTGCCTGGCCCCAGTGACCATTGCTGGCACACATTCAGAGCTGATATAAGTGTCTTGCTCTTGCATTGAATAAGATGCACTTTTTCTTGTCAGCCTTCCTTTCTTTTCTTATGAACAGGTTGCAACCCAGCGTGGACAGAGATTCTGAAAGTCAGACAGTCTACTGTGACGCTGCTTTGGAGACTGATGGAGCAACCTGTGCTTCTGTGGATGGTGTCGGGAGGTCCCGGCTCCTCCTGGAGCTCAGCTGCATGCTGTGTGCTTTGGTAATTTGCTTCACTCCTTGCAGGATACAAGGGCACCATTTAGAAAATTATTACTGGTACAGTCACTGGATGGCAGGAACCTGGAAGAATGAATGCAGTTTCCAAGGCTCCTAATTACAATTCCAAGAGTAGCTTTCTACAGTACACTAGAACTTATTCCTCCTACCCAGCTGTAATTTTATAGTTGTTAACTAACTCCAGGGTAAGTATTAAGTATGGTTAACAATAACTTATTGTGTATTTTCCAAAAGCTAGACAGAAGAGAGGATTTTGAATGTTCACAACACAAAGACATGATAAATATTTGAGACGATGGATATGCTAATTACCTTGATTTGATCATCACACATTAAATACATGTATCAAAATGTTACTGTGTATCCCATAAATATGTGCAATTATAACCTGAATTAAAAATTCATGAATAAAAATAAAAGAAAAAATAATACCTGGCTGAAGATGTTGAAACACTTTTGTTTACTTTAGTAAGCATTAATATACAGCTGAAATCATATCATCACTCCTCATCGCAGATTATATAAAATACTCTAAGCATTTTTTCCTATAATCTGCACATAATTATTTGGTGATTTGAATCTCAGCCTATGTTGTAATTGAACAGTTATCTGAAAATTTGTATAGCACTAAATAAAAATGTGCACTTTTAAAATGTGAACATACTCAGAAAAGTGCCTTAAAGAATTTCAGCTTCATTTTAATTTGTTAAAGCTTTTTTATTCCCCCAACCACCATCACTATACCTATATATGGTTCATCTTTATGTAAGAATATCAATAAATTCAGCAAAGACAAGGAAATCTAGAGAATCTAGGGGCATTTCCTGGATTGTGGTGAATTATAATATGGAAAGGTGATCAGAGCAGCTTCTGGGGCAATGAAACCAGGGCAGGGGCCCTCATGGCAGGCTCTCAAGTAATCCTCAGATATCTATGATAACCAGTGGAAATCACAGGCAGTTCTTGAAATCATGGAAAGGATGGATGATACTGCTCATTTTTGAAATTAAAAGAAAAGTTTTATCATTATAATCATTAACTGGTCAGCCTAAAATGTCAGTAGTGGGGAAGAAATGGGAATACATTGTCAACTCATCAATTTGCAATCACGCCAAAGAGGACAGGGCCGTGAAGTACAATCAGCTCCTTCACTCAGTGAGGGACAGACTGTGCCAAGTCAATTTAATTTCCATCTCTCCATGGAGTGGCAGGACACTCAGACGGGAGAGACAATAGATGTAATCTATCTGCACTTCAGAGAGGCTTTTCACTGCGCTACACAGAAACCCCTAATCAATGAGACAGAAGACAGCGTCTCTGCGGGTGTGGGGGCTGTTCTGTGGGAGGTCGGAGACAACGTAGGTCAAATGGAGGCCGGGAAGGGCAGAGCCCACTGGGACTCTTTGAAAGACATTGTTCAGAAGACGTGGAATACAGTTCTTCAACACTCTCAGGCACTAGCGCCAACTCAAATAAATGGGCTAAGTTGTAATTTACATTGAAGTTAGAAAAAAGTGGCTCAAGACATGAAGAAAAGCATTTCCTTTCTAATGTCTAAAAATTATCACTATATCCCTGTACATATACAGCTCCAAGGTCTACTCATTCTCCTGAGTCTCCAGAAAACAGAGCTTGTCATGTTTTAGATTAGGTAGAACCTTAAAAAAGTAAACTAAGATGACTGAAGTCCCCAGATACTAATAATAAAAACAATAGTGCCAATTTACTAATTTGCAGAGATAATTGTAAAATGAATTAGATGAAGAGAGATAGGTACAGATGTTAACAAGACAAGAATTTATAATATACAAGAAATAAACTAAATTAATAATAAAATACTAATAAAAAATCAGCCACCATTACCATTATTTTTATTTCATTACTTTTTTGGTTATTTGTCTCAGTCTATGTTGAATGACGATCATTTTTGTAAAACATTTCAGAAAGAATCTTACATTATTATATTGGAAAAATATCTACACATCTTCAAAATACTTCATTTTTTTAAATCGGGATTTTCAATCAGGTATCTGGAAAGTTCTGGAACGGCAGTGTCACTGCACTTGTGTGATGTATCTTGCAGGCACCACACTATTTATGCCTCGGGTCATGCTGATGTCTGAGTGCTCTGGAATTTAGTAAAATAAATGCCTAGGCCATTTTAAAAGGCTTCAGAAAATTCACACAGATGAAACGGGAAACAGAATCATCCACGGCAATTAAAGAAATGCAGATGAGGTGAATCGGCAGTAAATGTTCGTACTTGCTCCATTGGTGTTTTAAATCATAACACACAAGGATGATAAGGGCAAGAGGACATTGAATCACTCATAAGGGGTTAATTTTGCCTTCTAAATTGGCGCCATCCTCTTCTAGAGGTCTATCGGATAATCTGGGAACCACAAAGATTGCACGTGTGCTGAATGCACGAACCCCTCTCTTGGAATTTATCTTAAGAAACAGCACAGAAGTAAAGATGTGTGCTTACATGTATTGACACAGGCAGTGAAATGGGGAAAGGCCTAGTGTCCCTCCTGAGGGGGGATGGCTGAGTCAGCCTCATCAACTCATGCAGAAAGAAGTAAAAGGAATTCCAATTCCTGGACGGCTTGGAATTCTGAGCTAAGAGAGCCTGCAGTTGGCTCTGACCTGACAGAGACTCTCCTTGAGCAAATGTCCCACAGCTTCCTCTGAGCCTCTTCCCCACCTGGCCTTCTCCCGGGACCCAGTCCTGCCTTCCCAGCCCAGTTTTAGCAGGAATCTTGATATGTCACTTTCCCAAGAATTCCCCACCCTCAATAAGGAATCAACTTCCTCATACCCTACCCATGATGCCTAAGTCCTTGGCTGCCTTTAGAAAGAATCCTGTTAGGTCATTTTACCGAGAATCCCCTACCCTGAGGGTCTTCACCTAGTGATCCCATCTCCTGCCCCTGCACTCTGCTGGCTGGCTGTAAACCCAGCCACCCTGTTTGTTTTGGGAATTGAGCTCTGTCCTATAGGGACATCTCTTTCCCCTCTTGCAATAATTCTAAACACAATCTGTCTTTCCCACCTTGAGCAATTTATTTTTACCAGTGCTTTTAAGAACCTCCTCCACATCTCGTAAAATGAAGTGGTTAAAACGAACTTCACCTTCCCTGCGAGGTTTCCCATCATTCTGCAACACAAACGGTCTCCCAAAATCTCAGATGTCAGCATAGACATTGGAAAGGTCTGACCAGCTCTGAGGAAGGAGCAGGCTGAAGCCAGGCAAATGGAGAACGTGATAGGTCCTCATGGCCTCAATCAAAGATCAAAGTACAGAAATCATAGATATTATTAGCTAATCTTTCATGTGAAATAGAATTGTCTTATGGACTGGAGGTTCATGGGCATACCATTTCCCTGGAGAAGAGCTACATATGAAGTCAAATTATTGGATGATTTCTTCATGATATCAGAGCAAAGGGAGTTAATCATTTGGCTTGAAGTTTTAATAGCTTGAGGTTCTGCTGGGCCCATGTCTGGGCCTCCATGGTGGTTGTACACGGAATACACAATACCGAAGTCCCATCCTCACATGGCACTCAGACAACTTGAATGAGCACAGCTTACTTCTGTTAATTCTTATTGACACATTCTTTCTTTTGATATGCTAATCCTCTTAAGCAGATTATAGTCAATTAATTGAGTTTCACTTATTCTTAAAGTGACTTTGAATACTACTTAAAATCTGATTCAAGAATGCAGGGTTTCTTGGCAGAGGTATATTCCTGCATATAATTATGGCTGCATAGTGCAATATTGCTTTTCATTGTGCAATATAGTGTCAGCGCCTGGAAATGGAAGCTGGGCTTGAATCTCAGCCTTGCCACACACTGTGTGTTTTAGACATGCAGTAACCCCCGGATCAAATAAGAGCATGTGTTTGAAAGACACTGGCAAACTGCAAAAGTCTGTACAACGTAGGTTGTTTTAATCCCCAGATTTTGTGCTTATGCCCTCTGGGAGGGCATGGAGGTACGATCCGGTGCAAGAAAGAAATTCTTACACATCCCTAATTGCGGGAAGCAGAGTCCTGAAGAGAAGGGGAAACCTGCCTATGCTTTTCCCATCGAGTCATCAGTTAATTACAGGCTCCTACACGGAAATCGGATTTTTCTTCCTTCTCTCTCTAGGTTCCTCTCTCTCTAGGTTCCTCCCTCATCATTGATCTCTTACATTTTTTCTGGCACAATGAGGACTCCTCCAGCCCTAGAAATGAGCCATTTCTCCAAAGACCCCTGGCTCCTGTCAGAGGATACTGGTCAGACCGCCACGTCTGCTGGTGGTTACAGGGTTTCACTACCCGTAGGTCCTCTCAGGGTGCAGGGATGGATAACAGGAGAGGAGGAAGAGACGGCCTTTTACATGGAATTTTTAAACTTGCTTTTCTTTTATGGTAAAAAATAAGTATATATTTACATTGTATGTCAAAAGAGTGAATTTTATTTTTTTAATTATGAAGTGCCTGTACACTTTTCACATTTGAAAAAGACTTGTCCAGAAAAACGAGGAATTCCTGTTGTTTATCTTCACGTCCTGAGGCACCTTTGGGGGTGTTTTCTAAAGCTGAAAACCAGGGATGAAATATCGATTGATCGGAGCAACACTGGCGTTGAAACTCTAACCTAGGGCTTTCTACAGATCTGTGCATGCACGTGTGTGTGTATGGAGAGGTGAGAGTCAACTGTGTGTGCCCATTAAATTTTTAAATATGCCTTAGAGCTTATTGCAGAAGAAAAGGAGGAAGAGAACAGTAAGAAGGCAGTAAGGACTATTGAGAGCTTCTGCCTTTACTTGGCCTGGTGATGGTCAATCAATTTGTAACATGAACTTTTTCTTCCAAAGTTTCTCTTGGATTTAACATGCAACATGGCACTGTGCTTGTCCCCGAGTCTCCAAGACAGATATTTAATTTGTAATGATGTGCACGCCGTCCTCTACCTGCCAATAGATCATTACAAGGGCAGGGTTTCCTCCTGGGGTACTCTTGGCTGCAAATGAGTGCAAGCGTGAAATACTGGAGTCAGGCTCAGCCCACATAATAAAGGGAGGCAATCAGCTATTCAGATGGAGAAGGAAGAGGCAGGGGAAGGACTGACGCCCAGCACAGCCCAGGGGAGGTTAAATTACCCATCAACCTTCTTCGCCCAATCAATAGGCACCAGAAACCTCACATGAAGAAAAATAACCTCAGAGGAGAAAAACGTTTCTAGCTATAACATGCTGTGGTTGTAACCAGTTTGTATTAATTCCCTATATTGGATCTCTTTTTGTGAGTTAATTCACAGGCAAATAATCAGGAATGTGTATTCACATATCTAGCAGGAAAACATTGAAATAATCTAAAATACTCCAGGATAGTTTTGAAATATTAAACGACATGCCTTTAGCTTTTAACTTC